>NC_000009.12:39858484-40010000 GCF_000001405.40 Homo sapiens
TCACATCCTCATCAGCATTTGGTGTTGTCAGAGTTCTGGATTTTTGCCATTCTAATATGCATGCAGTAGTATCTCATTGCAGTGCTGTGTTTGAGAATGTGAGTAGCTGCAGTTCATTCACTCTTAGTGCTGCGAGGTACTCTATTATTGGAATATATGATCATTTAGTTACCTATTCCACAATCTACCCATATTGAGAGATAACTGGATTGTTTCCAGGTTTTTAAAATTGTGAACATTCTCATATATCCCTAGGTAAACAAATGCAAGAATTTTTCTGGGGCCTGTAACAGGCTGACTAGATTGCACTAGGTTGTAGTGAAGCCACTGGGTCATAGGGTACATGCATGATCAGCTGTATGAGCTAACATCCGTTTTCCAAATGGCTGTCCTTCTACTTGCATGGGATGAATGCTTCCACGGTTCTTTATCCTTGCCAATACTACACCTTTCAGAACTTCCAAAAAATTTTGTCAATATGTGTGAAAGGGTATCTAATTGTTAATTTTCATTTTCATGATTATTATTAGGTTGAGCACTTTTTCACATGCTTATGGGCTATTTATGCTAACTTCTTGAGGTGTTATTTTTCACTTATTAATTTATAGGAGAGCTTTATATATTCTGGATACTAAACCTGTCTAGGTAACATGTGTTGCAAATATCTCTGCCAAGTTTTGCATATTTTTTTCTCATTGCGGTATCCAATAAACAGAAGTCTTAAATTTTTATGTGATCAAGTTAGTTTTTACTCTTGCCGTTTGTTCTTCTTCCCTATGTAAAGATAAAAGAGATGCTCCACAGTTTTTTTCTAAGAATGTTGAGAAGGTATCTTTATCCATTAAAATATATTTTTAGGTTTGGTCTATGGGATTAAGTTTCAATTTCCTTTTTTCCCCCTTATGGAGACCAGTGGTCCCAGTGTTGCTTATTGTAAAATTTACTATCTTCACTTAACCACAAGAAAAGCTGTGTTACAAAATATGTTTCCAAGTATGTGTGAAAAATATATTTATCTTTATGATTCTACTCAGATTAATTAGCTCTCAGGACTGCTGTGTCCAGAGTTGATTCCTTCTGGTGGGTTCGTGGTGTTGCTGACTTGAAGAATGAAGCCGCCGACCTTCACGGTGAGTGTTACCGCTCTTAAAGATGGCAAGGACCCGAAGAGTGAGCAGTAGCAAGGTTTATTGGGAAGAGCTAAAGAACAAAGCTTCCACAACGGGGAAGAGCACCCACGCAGGTTGCTGCTGCTGGGGTGGGGGTGGGGGGGTGGCCAGGTTTTATTCCCTTATTTGTCACGTTTCTATCCTATCAGAGTGCCCTTTTTTCAATCCTCCCTGTGATTGACTACTTTTAGAATCCTGCCGATTGATGCGTTTTTACAGAGCTTGCTGATTGGTGTGTTTTACAGAGCGCTGATTGGTGTGTTTTACAGAGCATGGATTGGTGCGTTTTACAGAGCGCTGATTGGTACATTTCACAGAACTCGTGAGACAGGTAAGTTCCTGATTGGTGCATTTTACTATCCTCTGGTAAGACAGGAAATTTCCCCAAGTCCCCACTCGACCCAGGAAGTCTGGCTGGCCTCAGCTCTTGCTACCAGAGGCTAATTTCCACCCTGGTATTTCTCAGGCCCATAGATAGTGTGAATTCAAACCCAAACCAATATGGCTATTGTTTTGTATTTAGAAATTATCATACGTTTTTTATTTTTCATTTTTTTGTCTACCCTATTGGGACCAAGACAAGCACATATTTTCACTTTCTTATGGGGGTGGGATTTTCCTAGCCCAGGCACTTAACGTGCTTCTTTTTAGAAATCCTAGATTTATGCAGGAGGCATTTTAGCCTATATTCCTTCCTGCATGGGCATCAGTCTCTGTTTCCTGAATTAGGTGCTCATGGGTCTGGGCCAGTAGGTCCTGGGAGACACCGCAGGGCAAATGCCAGATGAGACACTCACACCTCTGGATTCAGACTTTTTTTGCTCTTCTAGATATCTGAAAATTTGCCTTACTTTGACTCAGCCCATGCATTAAAGCAGATGCTTTTAAATATTTTATGATGCATGTTTTAGGAAAGGGTCTGTCTGGGTATTTCTTCTTTCGATTTGCATTTTTCATTCAGTTCTTCTTTCACACTATCCTAAGCATTAATCAACTCGCCATTTATGTCAGTACAAAACTTCACTATCCTGTTCATTATCACCATTTCATTTTGTTCTGCATAGGCCAGACTATTTATCTAAAAATGTTTAAAGAAATCTAAGGCCTTAAAGGATTCTTTCTCAAGGACTCTACTGTTTGTATTTAGAGAAATGCTCATTTGTTCCACTGTTTTACTTTCTTCTTGGGTCACGCTCTTTGATGACTGCGATCTTACAGAGGATGACAAAAGAGGGCCCACCCTGAGACAGTAATACCTGCTTGCCCCTTTGGATTTTATTAGTGTTATCAAAATATTAATAAAATGTCAAAAACAAATTACTATCATTAGAATGTGTGCCTCACTTAAAAATTTCTCTCTCTAATAAGAAGTTTTTGTTTCCTAGTTCCTTTGGTACCCTAATGTTTAGGTAAATATTCTCTGAGGAAAGGATGTGGAAGTCATAGCAAAATATATGCTGGACTTGAATGAAAATATCTGTTTCATAAAAGTTAAGCAGGCAACCAAAATTTACCTTTTTTAACCTAAATTATCTAAACATGTATTTACATTTCTGTTTCATTGAAAGATATTTGACATTAAATGTCCCTGAGACAGATTTTGGAATGCCCTCTCCTTCTAAAATATATTTTTTATCTTTTGTGGACTAAACAGTTAGTTAAAAATGAACTTAATGATTGCTAATTACTAAGTTATCTAAACAGTTATTTAAAAATGAACTTAATGATTGCTACTTAGTTATTTATAATGCATTTCAAAATTAACTTTATCATCTAAACCTTTTAACACAAATGTATTAAATTATGAAACAGGGAATTGGCTATTTTTGTTCAAATGTTTATTCTCATCAAACTTAAAATATCACTCAGCTATATGATTAAAAATGAAGGCTTCAGTCATTAAATTATTTCCCAGTTATTTGCGATATTTCTCCGTATTAAAGGAACAAACAGTGCCCTTCGAATCTGTTGATAGTTCTATTGATAGTGGCCATCACAAGTTACACATTATCAATAAGGTCAAGGCACAAATAAAATTTCTCCCTTGCTTTTCACTCAAAAACTACAAGTATAGTTCTTTGATAAGATGTCCCAATCATGATTTGTGATGCCAATCATAGAAGGAAAGAGGATGTTGAGAAACAATAAAATAGCTACTTTAAAATGTTCTGTGCCTGAACATTTTGATGGCAATATTGGTCATATTATAAATTTGAAAATATAAATTTTAATCTAGATTGACTTTATTCTACTAGTGATTTTAAGAGCTTTATCCAAGAGAAACACTTACATTTTTATTCCTAATGTTTCTTTAAAAATGTGAAACTCTTTTTTTTTTTTATAATTTTAAGAATTCCTAGATAAGCAGAACATAGAGCCAACTGTTATGTTCTGGTTGTTTTTAATAGGTATATTTATGTTATCCCCCAAATTATAATTTATTAATGTCTAACTTCAGTTAGATGAGTTGATTACTTTTCATACACCATTGACTAAAGGAAACCTAATTTTACACGTAATTCAAGGGGATCTGTGAGTAAGAACATTTTTAAATTAAAGCAACACATGTGCATGGAAAATCATTCAAACAGTTTGATGGCAAAAAAATCAGTGGAAACCAGAAACTTTTTTTTTCCTTCCACAGACCTTGGTCCTGTTTTTCAGAGTTAGGCAGGTTTTATCATACTCTTTTTTTTACTATATGCTATTCTCTTGAACTGTAAATAATATTATATAATCACCTAATTTGTTTTATCAGTTTTAAGTAATATCCCTTGACTTTTTATGAACGATAGAGAATATAGCTCATTTACCCTACTTTCTTTTCTTTTTTCTTTTTTCTTTTTTTTTTTTTTTTGAGACGGAGTCTCACTCCCTCACCCAGGCTGGAGTGCAGTGGCGCTATCTCGGCTCACTGCAAGCTCCACCTCCCGGGTTCACGCCATTCTCCTCCGTCAGCCTCCTGAGTAGCTGGGACTACAGGCGCCAGCCACCACGCCCGGCTAATTTTTTGTATTTTTAGTAGAGACAGGGTTTCACCGTGTTAGCCAGGATGGTCTTGGTCTCCTGACCTCGTGATCCGCCCGCCTTGGCCTCCCAAAGTGCTGGGATTACAGGCGTGAGCCACTGCACCTAGCCCATTTACCCCACTTTCTTCTTCTAAAACTATATTTCCAATTTAGTCTTTAATATATAATTTTAAGGGATTTTTAAAAATTTGCTTCCTCTAAATAATATACTTACAGTGCTTAATTCTTTGCTTAAATAATATATTGTTTAAATATACAGTCCATCCAATTTGAACACCACTGATTGGCTCAGTAGGATGTGGAGATTAGTGTACAACTTCCCTCCTCTCCAACAGTCCCTGTCATAGCTTTCGACTTGTATCAAATATGGTTCTATACTTATATTTTCACATTCTATGTAAATTACATCCTATTTTGTAATTATAATAAAGTCTGTGCTTTGTTCATAGGTTAATTTTGATCATGGAATCTCAAGTGAATTGACAGCATCATTATTATGTTTTCTTTTTTTTTCAAACCACAGTCGCAGGTGGCATGATTTGATTTGTGTGAAGGCAATGAAATGATACACAGATACACCGAAGCCTCCCAAAAGAATCCTGGTTCCAAGATTCAAGAAGATGGATTAATGTTTTTCCATTAATTGTTGGAATTTATGCCATTTTTTTACTATGTGCCATCAATTTTAAAGCACTTCTGAAAAGAGATAACAATCTACAATAGCTGGCATTTTAAATTCATAAAAATATAGTATTTTCTTCTATTTTTATACATTTATGATGCATTATTTCTTATTTCCCAGGAATTTTACTACCTTTGTTTTGAATGATTAAAAAGGAAACATAGCACCTTTTTTCAACACATCACCAAGATAGCCTAGTTAATATTCTTCTCTTTCTGAAGTAGTTGAATTGGGATAGACAGCTTGCCAGGCCTGCTGCCACTTGTCAGCATCGCATCCCTACATTCAACCACACTTGCATCTAACGACCGTCTCTTTCATTAAATTTCTTTTGCACCTTTTCTTCCTGAATGAGTGCATGATAGTTAATTTTCCTGTGCACTTGCATGTCTCAAGAAGGTTTTAATTCTTTTTGTATTGCATTAATATTTAAGTTAAGTTTATAATTGCAAAATGATTTATACTCACAACATTGAAGACTCCTTTGTTTTGTTACATCCTGTCAAAATGATGAGAAGACAGATCATCCTTTAGGGAAAAATTGGTTTTGATTGGCGTCAGCCTTTCCAACAGCAATGCTGGAGACAAGAATAAAATGAAGTAATATTTTTCAAGGATTAAAAGGAAACAATTTTTAATCCTTGAATTATTTGCAGCCAAAATCTTTTAAATATGAAAGCACAGAAAAAGACATTATAAAGTAAGGCCTCAAAAGTTTTATTTCAAATAAATCCCTTTGAAAATGCCTAGAGGACATACTCCACTAAGAAGAGAAATACACCGTGGTGTTAGAATTGAGGGTTCCAGAATCAATGGTAGTGGTGTTTATCATACCCTAAAAAATACATGAAAACATAACATATTGAAAACAACTCCGAGTAAACTTCAGAAAGTACCACCTTAGACAAAGTGCTGTCGTAACAGAGAAAGCAAACCAGAGGTGGCAAGAGGAGGCTAGAGTACTTATTTGGTTTGCTGAGATGATATTAATTTTGACACATGGAGGAAATTGAGAAAATTAACATAAGTAATGACATAACCACCATTACTATGTTAAAAATTTCCAGATTTCAAACAAATGAAAAATTTTTGATCTATAGAGTGAGAGGTACAAATAGGAAAAAAGACACAGTAAAGTATGAAAAATCATAAATGAGATGACAGAAAGAAGTCATAATGGAACAATAATTACATAAATCAAAGGTTAAGATTGTCAGGTAAAATTTTTAAGTGTCAAAAAACACAATATAACCTATCGAAAATAAATTAGTGGAAAAAATGTAGCAGGAAAATATGAATAAAAAGAGCTAGGTCCAATTTTTGATAAAAATTTGAATTCAAGTTGATAATATCCTAAAGAAGGAAAAGTCTGTAGGCCAATAGAAGAAATAGCAGATGCAGAGGTGTGCTCACAAACATGAGTGCTCATGACACTAGTCATACAAACTCAAATTCCCATTACAGTTGTATACAAACATGATGGCCGACAAGAAGGAAGTTCCTTTAAGCCCACTTGGAGCATTAAGACAAATTTACCATGTGAATCCCTAATTGAACTCTGAGTTACTTCTGTGAAGGAATGAAGAATGATATCATAAATGAATTTCATATAGCACTCAAAGCTCCTCCTCTATATGGTTCAGGATAGACTTGAGTATCCACGGTTCTGGAGTGCAAGGGAGGAGAAAGGAAAGGTGCATTCAGACAAAAAAAAAAGTGTACAGAACACACCACGGATATCAGAAGAGGCTGCTCATGGCAAGGCGTGGTGGCTCGTACCTGTAATCCCAGCACTATGGGAGGCCGAGGTGGGTGGATCACCTGAGCTCAGGAGTTCAGGACCAGCCTGGGCAGCAAGGGAAACCCCATCTCTGCCAAAAATACAACAAAATTAGCTAGGCATAGTGGCACATGGCTGTGGTTCCCATTACTTGGGAGGCTGAGGTGAGAGGATTGCTTGAGCCTGGGAGGCAGAGGTTGCAGTGAGCCCAGATCGTGCCTCTGCACTCCAGCCTGGGCAACAAAGTGAGACCCCGTCTCAAAACAGAACAAAACAAAACAAAAAAAGAGGCTGATCAAGACCAGACTCAGCTCCTAGGCCTTGAACTCCAGTCCCACCTTACACCCTAAGGTTCCTAAAGAATCAGTAACTTAGTTCACCCTACCCCACTCCTGGCTTCTAGATGTAGCACAAGTTTCTAAACATGCAAACAATGAGAACTATCTATTTTGACAAAATAAGAAGAAATGGAGTCAAGGCAACATATAACATATTTTTGCCAGTTCTATTGATTAACAGAAAAATTGTATATAGTTAAGGTGTGCAGTGTGTTATTTTGATATACATATACATTGTGAAGTGATGATTACCACAATCAAGCTAACATATTCATCACCTCACCTGGTTACCTTTTTATTTGTGTTTGTGTGGTGGAGAACACTTGAGATCTACTCTTTCAGCAAATTTCAAGTATACATTATTATTGACTTTAGTCACTATGCTGTACATTAGATCTCCAGAACTTATTCATCTTATAACTGAAAGTTTGTACTTTCTGACAAACATTTTTTCTTTTCCCCCAACTCCCAGGCCCTGGTAAGCACTATTTTACTCTGTTACCATGAGTTTGACATTTTCTTAGTATGCATATAAGTGAAATCATGCAGGATATTTGTGTGTGTGTGTTCCTGGCTTATTTTACTTACCATAATAAACTCCAGGTTTGTCCATTTTGTTACAAATGGCAGTATTTCCTCATTTTTAAAGGCTAAATGATATTCCTTGTGTGTGTGTGTGTGTGTGTGTGTGTGTGTGTGTAATACATTTAAAACATCCATCTGTCAATGGACACAGGTAGTTTCCATATCTTGGCTGTGTACATAACACTGCAATGAACATGTAAGTATACATATCTCTTTGAGATAGTGATTTTCTTTACTTTGGATATATACCTAGATGGGGATTGCTGGATTATATGGGAGTTCCATTTTTAATTTTTTGAGGAAAGTCCATACTGTTGTCTCTAATGGCTGTACCAATTTACATTCCCATCAACTATCAACTAAGCACAAGGGTTTCTTTTTCTCAATATCCTCAGCAACATTTGTTACCTTTTTACTGTTACAATAGCCATCCTAATAGATGTGAGGTGATATCTCATTGTGCATTTTCCTGATGATTAGTAATGGCAAACATCTTTTTCTTAGTATATACCTATTGTCAATCGTATGTCTTTTAGAAATGTATCTCTTCAGGTCTGATACGCTTTGGCTGTGTCCCCACCCAAATCTCATGTTGAATTGTAGCTCCCATAATTCCCACGTGTTATCAGAGGGACCCAGTAGGAGACAATTGAATCATGGGAGCAGTTTTCCCCATACTGTTTTTGTGGTAGTAAATAAGCCTCACAAGATCCGATTGTTTTATAAGCGATTTCCTTTTTCACTTGGCTTTCATTCTGTCTTGCCTGCTGCTGTGTAATATGTGCCTTTAGCCTCCCACCATAAGTAAGGCCTCCCCAGCCTTATGGAACTGTGAGTCCATTAAACCTCTTTTTCTTTATAAATTACACAGTCTTTGGTATGCCTTTATGAGCAGCATGAAAACAGATGAATACAGTAAATTGGTACTGGTAAAGTGGGGTGCTGCTGTAAAGTTATCCAAAAATGTGGAACCAACTTCGGAACTGGGTAATAGGAAGAGGTTGGAACAGTTTGGAGGGCTCACAGAAAGACAGAAAAACATGAGAAAATTTGGAACTCCCTAGAGACTTGTTGAGTAGCTTTGAACAAAATGCTAATAATGATATGGACAATGAAATTCAGGCTGAGGTTGTCTGAGATGGAGACGAGGAACTTGTTGGGAACTGGAGTAAAGGTAAATCTTGCTATGTTTTAGCAAAGAGACTGGCAGCATTTTGCCCCTGCCCTAGAGATTTGTGGAACTTTGAACTTGAGGGAGATGATTTAGGGTAGCTGGCAGAAGAAATTTCTAAGCAGCAAAGCATTCAAGAGGTGACTTGGGTGCTGTTAAAAGCATGCAGTTTTAAAAGGAAACGGCATAAAACTTTGGAAAATTTGCAGCCAAACGACATGATAGACAAGAAAAACCAATTTTCTGAGGAGAAATTCAAGCCAGCTGCAGAAATTTGCATAAGCAACAAGGAGCCAAATGTTCATCCCCAAGACAATGGGGAAAATATCTCCAGGACATGTCAGAGATCTTTGTGGCAGTCCCTCCCATCAGAGGCCAGGAGGCCTAAAAGGAAAAAATCCTGGGTTGGATTCAGGGGCTCCCTGCTGTGTGCCACTTTGAGACTTGATGCCCTGCATCCCAGCCACTTTAGCCATGGCTAAAAGGGGCCAAGGTACAGCTTGGACTTTGGCTTCAGAGGGCACAAGCCCCAAACCTTGGCAGTTTCACATGGTGTTGAGTCTGTGGGTGCACAGAAGTCAAGAACTGAGGTTTGGGAACCTCTGCCTAGATTTCAGAGGATGTATGGAAACACCTGGATGTCCAGGCAGAATTTTGTTGTGGGGCGGGTGGGGGGGGGTCCCTCATGGAAAACCTCTGCTAGGACAGTGCAGAACGGAAATGTGGGGTTGAAGCCCCTACACAGTCCCCACTTGGGTACTGCCTGCTGGATCTGTGAGAAGTAGGCCACCGTCCTCTGGACCCCAGAATGGTAGATCCACCAACAGCTTGACCATGCACACGGGAAGGCCACAGACAATGCCAGCTCATGAAAGCAACCAGGAGGGGGGATATGTCCTGCAAAGCCACAGGGGTGGAGCTGCCCAAGGCCATGGGAGCCCACCTCTTGCATAAGTGTGACCTGGATGCGAGACGTGGAGTCAAGGGAGTGCATTTTGGCACTTTAAGATTTGACTGGCCTGCTGGATTTTGGATTTGGGGCCTGTAGCCTCTTTGTTTTGGCCAATTTCAACCATTTGGAACAGGTATATTTACACCCTCCCTGTACCTCCATTGTATCTGGAAAATAACTGACTTGCTTTTGACTTTATGTTCTCATAGCTGGAAGGGACTTGCCTTGTCTCAGATAAGACTTTGGAGAGTGGACTTTTGAGTTAATGCTCAAATGAGTTAAGATGTTGGGGGACTGTTGGGAAGGCATAATTTGCTTTCAAATATGAAGACATGAGATTTGGGAGGAGCCAGGGCAGAATGATATGATTTGGCTGTGTCCCTACCCAAATCTCATCTTGAATTGTAGTTCCCATAATTCCCACATGTTGTGGGAGGGACCTGGTGGAAGACAATTGAATCATGGGGGCAGTTTCTCCCATACTGTTCTCATGGTAGTAAATAAATCTCACAAGATCTGATTGCTTTATAAGGGGTTTCCCCTTTTGCTTGGCTTTCATCCTGCCTTGCCGGCTGTCATGTAAGACATGCCTTTCACCTTCCAACTGTGATCATGAGGCCTCCCCACCTGTGTTGAACTGTGAGTCCATTAAACCTCTTTTTTCTTTATAAATCACCCAGTCTCAGGTATGTCTTTATCAGCAGCATGAAAACAGACTAATACAAGGTCCTTTGGAATCGTCTAAGTTCCTAATTTATTTGGATATTAACTTCTTATCAGATATATAGCATGTAAATATTTTCTCCCATTCTTTAGGTTGTCTTTTCATTGTATTGATTGTCTCCTTTGTTGTGCTGAATCTTTTACTTTGATTTAGTCCCATTTGTCTAGTTTTGCTTTTGTTGTCTATACTTTTGGTGTCAAATCTGAAAATTTATTACCAATACCAGTGTCAAGGAGCTTTTCTCCTATATTTATGTCTAAGAGTTTTACAATATTGCTCCTAGGTTGAGGTCTTTTATCCATTTTGAGTCAATTTTTGTATGTGGGGTGAGATAAGGGTTCAGTTTCATTCTTCTGCATGTGGATATCCAGTTTTCCCAACACCATTTATTAAAGAGACTAAACTTTTATCATTGTGTTTTCTTGGCACCAATGCTGAAGATCAATTGATTGTAAAGGCATGGATTTGTTTCTGTGCTCTCTATTCTTTTCCCTTGGCCTACATGTCTGTTTTTATGCCAGTACCATACTATTTTAATTACTATAGCTTTATAATTTAGTTTGGAATAAGGTAATGTGAAGCTTCCACTTTTGTTTTTTCTGTTCAAGAATGTTTTGACTGTTTGGGGTCTGTTGCACACAGATTTTAGAATTGCTTTTTTCCATTGCTTTGAAAAATGCCACTGAAATTTTGATAGGGGTTGCATTATATCTGTAGATCACACTGAGTAATAGAGATTCTTTTATCTTCAAATTCTTTCATCAGTGTTCTATAGTTTTTGGTATATAGAAATTTTACTTTCTTATTTAAATTTATTCCTAAGTTAATTTTTTGATGCTATTGTAAATGAGATTGTGTTCTTTCAGATGGACTCTCGCTCTGTCACCCAGGCTGGAGTGCAGTGGTGTGATCTCAGCTCACTGCAAGCTCTGCCTCCCGGGTTCACACCATTCTCCTGCCTCAGCCTCCCGAGTACAGGCGGCCACCACCACGCCCGGCTAATTTTTTGTATTTTTAGTAGAGATGGGGTTTCACCATGTTAGCCAGGATGGTCTCGATCTCCTAACCTCATTATCCACCTGCCTCAGCCTCCCAAATTGCTGGGATTACAGGCGTGAGCCACCGCGCACAGCCCGAGATTGTTTTCTTAATTTCTTTCTGGGATAGTTCACTGTTAGTATATAGAAATGCAATAGGTTTTTTTTTTTTTAATGTTAATTATGTGTTCTGTAAATTTGCTGAATTTGTTTCTTAATTTTAACAGTTTTTTTTTGGAGCCTTTAGAATTTTCTCTATATAAGATCATGTCATCTTGAAATAGACACACTTTCACTTCTTTTCCAATTTGGATGCCTTTTATTTCTTTTTCTTACCTAATTGCTCTGGCTAGGACTTACAGACTTTTTCAGAAACCCCCCACAGTAATCTAGGGGAGTCCACTGTCACTAGATCTGCTTTATAAGAAACCCTAAAGGGAGTTCCTCAAACTGAAATGCAATAAGACTAATTAGTATCATGAAACCATATGCAGTTATAAAAAGTCACTGGTAACTATACAGTCAAATTCAAAATACTCCTAATACTGTAATGATGCAGTATAATCACTTTAACTTTTAAAAGGTTAAAAGACAAAAAATACTACAAATAAATATAATTACAAAATATACAAAGAAAGAAACTCTGACATCAAAAAACATAAGTGGAGGGGAGTAAAGTGTAGGGTTTTTGTATATGATTGAAGTTAAGTTGTTATCAACTTAAAATAGACCATTATAACTACAATCATGCATTTCTTAATGCGGATATGTTCTGAATAATGCAATTTTGTCATGGTGTGAATATCATAGAGTATACTTACACAAAATTAGATAATACCACCTAACACACACCCAGGCTATATGGTATAACCTATTGTTTCCAGGCTACAAATCTGTACAGCATTGTACTATACTGAATGCTATAGGCAACTGTAATACAATCATAAGCATTTGTGTATCTAATGTATGTAAACATATGAAAGGTACAATAAAAATGTTATAACCTTATGGGACCACCGTTGTATATGTGGCCCATCATTGACCAAAACATCCTTGTGTGGCACACGATAGCATACAATGTTTTATGTAAGCCTCATGATAATCACAAAGACAAACATGTAACAGATACACAAATGAGAATTTTACCACGTTTAAAAAAGAATTAATACAAAGGCACAGGAAAGAATCAAAGTATACCACTACAGAAAATAATCAAAGTAATCAAATCATGCACAGCAAGAGAGAAATAAAAGAACAAGAAAACTACAAAATGCCTATCAATAGTTACTTTAAATATCAGTGGACCAAATCAGTGAAACAAAAGACACAGAGTGGCTGAATGGATAGTAAAACAAGAACCAAATATATGCCACCTATAAGAGACTCACTTCACCTTTAGAGACACACATAGACTGAAAGAGAGGGAACAAAAGAAGAGAAAGAGTAGCTATTCTTACAACAAACAAAATAGACTTTAAGTCAAAAACTGTAACAAGAGACAAAGAAAGTCATTATAGAATGATACAAGGCTCAATTCATCAAGAGGATATAACTACTGCAAATATATATTCTCCCAACATTGGAGCACCTAATTATATAAAGCAAATATTAACAAATCTGAAGAGAGAAGTAGACAACAATAATACAATAACAGTAAGGGACTTCCATATCCCACTTTCAACAATGGATTGATCATTCAGACAGATAATCAATAAGGAAACAGCTGACTTGAACTACACTATAGATCAAATGGACCAGACATATACATGACATTCCTTTCCAAAACAGCAAAATACACATTCTTCTCGAGCATACACAGTACATTCTCCAACATAGGTCATATATTAGGCCAGAAAACAAGTCTTAGCAAATTTAAGAAGATTGAGATCTCACCAAGTATTCTTTTTGACTACAGTGGCATGAAACTGAAATTAAAAACAGGAGAAAACTTAGAAAAGTGACAAATATGTGGAAATCAACCAACACACTCCTGAATAACCAGTAGATCAAAGAAAACATCAAAAAAGAAATAAAATATCTTGAGACAAACTAAAATGAAAGCACGACATACTAAAACTGATGAGATGAAGCAAAAGCCGTTCTAAGAGAGGGAAGTTTATACAGATAAGTGCTAAATAAAGAAAAAAGATCCCAAATAAACCTCAAAAAATAGAAAAAAATAATCAAGCCCAAAATTAGAAGGAAATAACAAAGATCATAGCAGAAATAAATGAAATAGACTAGAAAAACAATAGAAAAGATGAATGAAACGAAGAGTTGATTTTTTGAAAAGATAATAAAAATTGACCAACCTCTCACTAGGCCAAGAAAAAAGAAATCTCAAGTAAATAAAATTAGAACAAAAAAGGAGATATTAAAATTGGTACCATAGAAATACAAAGGATAATAATAGTCTACTCTAAACAACTATGTGTCAACAAATTGTTTAACTTAGAATAGAGAAATTTCTAGAAACATACATCCACTAGACTGAAACATGAAGAAATAGAAAATAAAAACAGATAAATAATGATTAAAAATATTGAGTCAGTAGTCAAAAAGCTCCTGAAAAAGGAAAATCCAAGACCAGATAGCTTAGTGGAGAATTCTACCAAATGTTTGAAGAAGAATTAATACGATTTCTTCACAAACTCTTCCAAAAGTTGAAGAGGAGGGAACACTTCCAAACATTTTTTATGAGGCCAGCATTACCCTGATAACAAAGACAGAAAAGGACACTACAAGGATGACAGAGATTTTTAAGGTACAAATGATGTATTGTTGGAATTGAAAATACAGGCTTTGTTAGTACAAAGATTTGTGTGTGGATAGGTGGATGTGTACTGGTGTGTGCATGCATACATATACAAGCTTAACTTGTTTTATTGCACTTCACTTTATTATGCTTCTCGGATATTGCAGTTTGTACAGGTTGAAGGTTTGTGGCAACCCTGCACCAAGCAAGTCTACCAGTGCCACTTTTCTGGTAGCATGTGCTTATTTTGCACCTCTGTGTTACATCTTTGTAATTCTTGCAATATTTCAAATGTTTTGTTATTATTATATCTGTTATGGTGATCTGTTATCAGTGATCATTGATATTACTATTGTCATTGTTTTGGGGCATCACAAGCCATGCTCCAAAAGACAATGAGCTTAATTGATACATATGTGTATTCGAATGGTTCCATCGATCTGCCCTTCCTCCATCTCACCCTCTCCTCAGGTCTGTTTTCTGAGACACAGCAATATTGAAATTAGGCCAATTAATAACTCTATAAAGGCCTCTATGTGTTCAAGTGAAAGTAAGAGTCACACATCTCTTATTATAAATCTAAAGTGAGAAATGATTAAGCTGAGTGAGGAAGGTATGTTAAAAGCCGAGACAGGCCAAAAGGCCCAGGCTGGTCTCGAACGCCTGACCTCAAGCAATCCACCTGCCGCAGCCTTCCAGGTAGCTGAGATTAAAGGCATGAGCCACCATGTCCAGCTTCTATGCATTATTTTAAATGGAGTATTGAAGACTCTGTTACTGTAGAACTATTTCTAACTTCAATTCTGTCAATATTTTGGTCACAGGCCTTAATGTGATTACACGCTGGTCTGATGTTCATGGCCAGGACATTTTGTTTTCCTGTTGGACATAAACAATCTCACAGAATATCAACTTCAGAAGGTTAATCTGAGACCGTGATAAGTGCAAACAAAAACAAGGGCACTTTATAATGTTGTCTAAGTGCAGATAAAAAACAAGGTCTTGATGCCACCCACAAAATACTTAATAATCATATTGCTCCTGCTTTCTGACAGCATCCAATCTAAAGTCTTCACTTTCTGAGATCCTGTCCGAAATCAACCAATTAAAGTCCAAATCGTATAATAGTTTCTCTCTAACTCCTCCCACTGAGATGACCCATAGTACCCCATTCCTTGCTGCAATGTAATTATATTTACTTACAAGTGTGCTCCTGGTGGTCTTTAACTGAAGGGCACTGACTGGGTCACTGGTGAAGTTCCCCGCAGGAACTGAGTCAGACCCCATCTCAGGGCCCTGCACAAGATAGGTGCCTGCTCTAAGGCGTGGACCCTCGCCACAGCCCTGGCCCGTCTTGACGGGCGAGGGTTACTGTACTTGTCCCAACCGTACAGATGAGAAAGCTGAGACTCAGGGCGAGCAACCCGGGTCCCAGCGGAGCGCCCGGCACACGCCGACACTTCAGCACCAGTCGCGGTGGCCACCACTGTGCGCGGAGATGGCTGCGACGCGTGCGCAGGTAAAGTCCATCCGTGCCTTGCCTCCCACCGGCGCCTTCCCCGGCCTCTGGTTTTTGTACCCGCCAGCGGCTCCGACTCCATCGCGTCCTCTTCCAGTCTAGTGCTTTTTTCCAGATCTCGATCCCAAACTCCCTCCTGCCAGAATCTGGACCCGAATCCACCCATTGCCCGTTTTCTGCTGCCGCTGGAGAGAATCTCTGAGGTCCCCAGGAGAGCCTGCCTGCACGGAAGAGATGCCTCCTCAGTATGGCCGCCCCCGGAGAGGAGCGATTAAGTGCAGACCTCCATGTTGCTCTTGAGCCTGAGCGGCTTCAGGGAGCCATGTTTGTTACTGGCGGGCGCCGACCTCACTGAGCATGTGCAGCCCTGGCCGGGCGGCCTCAAAGTTCTGACATCACAGGGCGGTTCCTGAAGTGGACGTAGTTGTAAGAGCTAGTTATTTTAGACAATGCCTCTGGGATCAGGGACTCTAATCTGGAAATAGGTAGTAGGAGAGGTCGGTGATGCAGTCTCTGGATCAGAGACCTGAGCTATATGGGGTTAGAGAGGGGCCCTGGGCAGGCGAGTCTCTGGGGAGTGTGGTGAGAATCCTTGTGTAAGATGCTGGGAGGAGGTGGGGTCAGGGCTGGGGTCCGTGGGCCGACGGGTTGGGGGATGGCCAGCGTCAGGGATCAGTAGTAGAGATTCTATGTGCCCTGATCGCCAGTGGAGGTTTTAAATACAGAGTATTCATGAGTTTAGCAATGTTATTCGCCTCTCATTATTTAAATAATTTGAAATTTTCCCCAATAACTAGTGTCTTAGAAGTCATGAAAATTTCAGAAAATGACAGGTCTCCTGAGTTCGTGATGGGAGTTGGGCAGCAGTCGCATACGAGCACCTGGAGAGTCCTTGCCAGTTCTTTGGGGATGGGGAGCTCTTAAGACTGCCCTGAGACCGCCCTTTGACCTCATTATGGTCCTTTCTAGATCAAATGCTGTTTTCCATGACTGTCTCTGTTCTTCCCATACGCGAATGGCAGGCATCCAGATCTCCAAGAATAGAGGATTAGGAGAGACTCCACCACCTATGTCCTCACAGTTAATTATCGATTTGTGTCAGTTGCCCATTTTCTCACTTCCTGTTTGTGTGTCAAGGAGTATTAATAAATCTTTGCCTATTTAAAGATATTAGCCTTGGATTTTCAAATATTGCATATTTTGACATGTAAAAATTTGTTAGTTTTATTTTTTCAACCGATCTGACCTGTATAGTTGGGCTTGAGGAAGCTTCCTCATTCTACATGTTACTATGGATTTTCTAATATTAACACAGGGTTGTATTTTTTCCATATAACTTTCTATTGAATTTCTTTTTCCATATGATAGGTGGTGAAGGTTTAGCCCAGTAAAGCAGAGAGGTTAAGAGGTTAGATTGGGGGCTCTGGAGCCAGACCTATGTAGATCTGAGTCCTGGCTCTGGCACTTGAAAGCCGTGTGACCTTGGTTAAGATACTTAGTCCCTCTCTGCCAAATGGAGAAATAAGGGCACCTACCCCATAGGGTAGTTGTGTGATTACACAAGTTAATACACTTCAATCAGTAGCAAGAAAGTGAATGTCAAGCTGTATTTGTTCAGGCAGCCATATGGTAGCCCCACGTCCTTAGTAAACTGAGGTATTGAAGTATCTTCTTTTTCTTTCAGAAAATATTTGTCAAGCACCTTCTGTGTTCTAAGAACTGTTCTAGAGCTTTGCATGCTATGGAGGTCTAGAAATTCACATTATGGTGGCAGGTGACAGACAATACAAAGAGATAAAGCAATTTCATATAGTGATAAGCTAGGGAGGAGTGCTAAAAGGAGCCAAGGTGTAGTGGTGACTGGAAGGTGACCAGGGAAACCACTGTAGGGTTTCTAAGTGATGAGATCTGTGACAAATCCCTGTGGTCAGCAGCAGGCATTGGATATGTAACTTTATTCTGTCCCATTGATCTTGTAGTCAACCCTGGTCTGTTCTGTATTGTTTTAATTACATAATCTTTGTAATAATCTTTAATACCTGGTGGAGTGCTCTGTTTACTTATTTCTGCATAATTAACCACCCCTAAGCTTAACTTACTCATGGTTCTGCAGGGTGACTGCTCTCCATGTTTCTAGGTGGTTCTGCATGGGGCCTCTCACATGTGCTACAGTCAAACATTAGCCGGGGCCACAGTCATCTGAAACTCACTTACATGGCTGACAATTGATGTTGGCTGTTGCCTGGAGAAGACATATGTGGCGTGGTGGAATGGAATGGTGACTAGATTCAAGAAAGAGCTTCCCAGGAGGAAGGCTACCAAGAGACCGAAGTAGAGGCTTCAGTTTCTTAAAAAAAAAAAAAAAAAAAAAAAATCGGGCAAGGCACGATGGCTCATGCATGTAATCCCAGCACTTTGGGAGGCCAAGGCAGGCAGATCACAAGGTCATGAGATCGAGACCATCCTGGCCAACATAGTGAAACCCGTCTCCAATAAAAAAAAAAAAAATACAAAAATTAGCTGGGCATGGTGGTGTGAACCGGTAGTCCCAACTACTCGGGAGGCTGAGACAGGAGAATCTCTAGAACCTGGGAGGCGGAGGTTGCGGTGAGCTGAGATTGCACCACTGCACTCAAGACTGGCAATAGAGGGAGACTCCATCTCAAAAAAAAAAAAAAAAAAAATACAATAGCAGAATTCCCAGAATGGAATTTATGTCACATTCTATGGATCGAGCAAGTTGCAAGGCAGCCAGATTCAAGGGGAAGGGAGCTATTCCTCACCTCTTGAGAAGCAATGTGTGTTGAGGAAGGGAAAGAATTGATGGTAGCTGTCTTTGACTTCTGCCATACAGAGCAAGGTCTCCACACTCCTTTCTCCTGTAATAATTTTCCATTTGAAAATTTTCCTTGCAATTCTCACACCTTTATTATTTCATATAAATTTTACAATCAATTTTTTTCTTGTCTAGATAACCATGCCATTTGGATTAAAATTGCATTACATTGCAACTTTTGAGAAACTATGGGAGGAGAATTGGCAACCTTATAATATTGAATTTGCTCATTAAGGAACATAGTTTCTCTGTTTATTTAGGTGTTATATTTTTCATAACATACATGTTGGTATTTCTACCCAGGCTTTTCTCTTTGTTTTGTCATGTAACCCATGAATGAGACTGCACTGTCTGTGTGATTGGGCAGTTGCCCAAAGTTTAAGGTGTTAACATGCATTAATTCACTTAATCACTCCTCATTTCCTCCTTCCCTCAACCCCTGACAACCATGAATCTGCCTTCTGTCTCTAGATTTGCCTATTCTGGACATTTTATATAGATGTGTCATCCAATATCTGGTCTTTTCTGACTGGCTTCTTTCACGTAGCAGGATTCTACGGTTTATTGAGGTTCATTCATTGTGTGGCCTGTATCAGTGCTTCATTCCTGTTTATGGCTGAATAATGTTCCACTGTATGTACATATGTATGTATACCACACTTTGTATATCCATTTATTTACTGGAGGATATCTGGGTTATTGACAGTATATTTCAGGAGTCCCCAAGATCATCCTCCCCCTTGATCTACTGCTCTTTGTATCTTATATGACCTGTGCAGAACTATTTATCTGGAAATTAGGTGATGGTTAACTAAATATAGTTCTTCTAAAGACTCATTTTCCGTTGGTATTACATCCTGAGGAGACTTTAACTCACTCTCCCAATACATTTGATCATCAATATCAGTATTACCACATGACTTATTTGCATGAGGTAATCAAATCTAACCAGCCATGCCAGTGTTACCCATATTGCATGTTGTGGTAGTAGATGCAGCCCCCCAAAATAAAAGTCAAAAGATGCTCGCACATTCCTGAGGTTCTTCTCAGCCACTAACAATTGGTGTAGTTCATCATCACCTGGAATGACCAAAATGTCTCCCATGGAAATGCGGCTCAGCTGTGTAGGCTTCCATTTAACTTTGTCAGGTTCCGAGGCAGGGCTGGCTTGAGTGGTCTTGTTTCCACTTTGGCTATGATGAATAATGCTGCTGTGAACATTCAGGTATACGTTTTTGTGTGGTTTCATTTCTTTTAAGTATATACCTTGGAGTGTAATTACTGGATCATATGATAACTCTGTTTTAATTTTTGAGAAACTACCAAAATGTTTTCCAAAACAGACAAGATTTTACATTCCCTCAGCATTGAATGAAGGTTCTTATCCAGTTTCCTGTTCTTGCTGACACTCCTTATTGTTTGTCTTTTGAATTTAGTTATCTCAGTGGGGTGAAGTGGTGTATCATTGTGTTTTGATTTGCATTTCCCTAATAATGAATGTTATTGAGCACCTTGTCACATGCTTATTGGCCATTTTTCATCTTTTTGAAGAAATGTCTATTCATCTTTTGCCCATTTTTAAATTGCGTTGTCTTTTTATTGAGTTGTAAGAGTGGTTATATCGTCTGGAACATGTGTTCCTTATCAGATATAAGACTTATAAGTTTTTGTCCCATTCTGTGGTTGTCCTTATTTTCTTATGTAACCTTTGTATTAGTCTGTTTTCATGCTGCTGATAAAGACATACCTGAGACTGGTCAATTTACAAAAGAAGGAGGTTTATTGGACTCACAGTTCCATGTGGCTGGGGAGACCACACAATCATGGCGAAAGATGAAAGGCAAGGAGGAGCAAGTCACGTCTTACATGGATGGCAGCAGGCAAAGTGAGAGCTTGTGCAGGGAAACTCTCATTTTTAAAACCATCAGATCTCGTGAGACTCATTCACTATCATGAGAACAGCACAGAGCAAAATGAATCAACAGTTGACAAATTAAGGATTAACTTATGCAAGATTTGACTGAGAATACTGAAGAAAACATTCTCGACATACTCGACATCATTAGTTATTAAAGAAATGCAAACGAAACGTATAATGAGCTGCCTCTTCAAACCTACTAGATTCAACAAATATTTATTATTTATTTGCTCTATGCCAGAAATGTGTCTTCATGCCAGGTTAAGAAAAAGAGAAAACAGAAAAAAAAATAGCTGTCCCTGACAGGAAGAGCTTACGTTCTTTCTTTTTGGGCGAGAAAGGCAGTGAAAAATTAAAAAAAGAAACGCAGTATTAACATGCGGATAAGTTCTAGGGTGAAATTTGAATGCAGATCCAGAGTGACTGTCTGCCTCTCAAAAGAATTCTGCTGAGATGTCTAGAATTAAGTAGAGTAGCAAGCAAATATCTACAGCGCATGTCTCTTTCAAAGACAGAAAAACAAAGTGGTTTTTAAGGTGGGTGAATCTTGGCATTTCCAAGAAATATCAGGAGGCTCTTAAGGATAGAATGACCAAAACAATGAGGGCTGTGATAAAATAAATTGGGGGAGGTATGGAGAAGGATCCCATATTGTTTCTTTCACAAACAATGACAAGGTTTTGGGTTTTACTTTGAGAAGGGGAACAATTAGAAAGCTATGAGCAAGACTGTGAAATTATTTGATTTATGTTTTATAATCATTCTGACTCCTGGCTGAAAAACAGCCTCTAGGAATGAAAGTGAGAGAAATAGGGTCATCATTTATGAAGCTATTCCAATGATCCAGTGCTTTGGCAGTTGCCTGGACATGGCTAGTAAGAGGTAAAAGTAATCTGATACATCTTAAAGGCAGGTGTTCATGGATTTGATATGGCAAATGAAAGAAAGAAACCACTATGTGTTATATTCCTTGAGCCAAAATTGAGGTGTAAAATAAACATGCTCACATAAATGGTTGATTATGTTCTTAAATGAAGGAGAAAATAGTTGCAGTGATGTTAAGTCATCAACCATTTAAAGTGTTGCTTTTGAAAGAGATGAATCAAGGAAGGGATGGACATGAATTTTCCTTACCTAAAAAGCTAGTGAAAATTAAGATTGACATGAACAGGATTAAAACTTTATTTTATAGTGGTACTGAGATGAAACATCACACTATCTGACTTCATAGCTTAAAAATATAATCACCCCACCAACTTCTCACTCTTTTCAAGGATTTTGTGAGTAACCAGCTTTAATTTGGAAAACCTAGACTTGTACATACAGATTGTTATGTTTGTGAGTATGATTATTTCTATCATTTTGTTTTACATTGTGCTTTATCATTCAATAATTAATATCTATCATTTTCCATTAACTAATTTATTTTATGACCATTTATTATTATTATTACCCTATGGTAGTCAATAATTACTGATACATATTCCATTGTTTTTTGGGATTTGATATAGAATCAGAGAAGTTTGTTGCCAACTCCTTTTTAGTTGAATATATATTGTTTTTGTCTTATATTTAGTTTTTGTAAAACTTCAGATTTTCCATCTTGCCCCACTATTTATTGCTAAAAATCATATCCAAATATGACAAGGTTTAGGAACACACACAGTTAATGAACACATGTTAAAGTATAATAACACAGAATACATTTTTGAAAGTAAGTTTATTAAAATTAGCAATATATTTCTAGTTATATGCATAAGGATATACCAACATGGATTTTGCCTGCCCAATATTAATTTTCTCTTAATTTCTTACTTACAGAACTTCAATTTGGTCAGGAGTCTAAGCCCCAAATTATGTTTGCTGTCATGTACTCATGACAGCTCTTTTTCTTGATTTTTCTAGCCTTTATCCATTTGGAAATGTGAACCACCTTTTATAGGTGAGATACAGTATAGCTGAACACTTCTCTAAAGGTTTCTGTAAAAAAGCATAAATGTACAAGCCTATCATCCCGATTCTATTTAGTTTGCCTTGAATATGAATGTGATAAGTGAAGTAAGATCTCACATCTTGCAACATGAAGTGGAAGAAGGGTCAACATAGAAGAAATGTCAGAAGAAATGAACCAATAGAAAATTCCTCATTTGCTAAATTTTGTTAAAAGAAAAAAATAGATTTTAATATTAATCTGATCTACACAGGCAAATGTTAACTGCAATGAAAATGTCTTTTAGATAATTCAGAACACTTTCCATCCTTGGTAAAAGTATTCATTTTACTGACTCACTATTATATATTTTGTTAAGTTAGAAACTCATATTCAATCAAAGGAAATAAAAGTTCCCCCTAATTTCTAGGAATATAAAAAAATAGGTACACATAGCTTAGATAATATTTTCTATATTTGTTCAAGTAAATCAGTTTAGTAATTGTTTGAAATACTTCCAATTGATATGAGTCCAATTTTAGAAGGAATTTTAGTTGGAAGTGTTATTCTCTTTATGAAGATGTAAATGGCTCTGTTTACTGGCCAATATTTACATACACATACAGTCAATGAATGTTAATTTGCACACAGTGGCATATATAATTCAAAGTTCATTTTATTAGTTAATTTAGATATGGTTCAATGAGAGTTTCAAACTGAGGGCATAGAGTCATATAACATACTCTAGAAGAACAACTCACAAAAACTAAAATAAATTGCTTTACCATGTTTGCCTTTGTATTTCACTTTTTCTGTTCTGAAGAATAAGCATGGTAAAATTTACATATATCTAATGCATATAATGGGCAATGTATGAATTATTTTACAAATTACTCATAACCAGAAGAGTTCTGTTGGATTTTACCATATGGCCAGATTCATCTTGCCTTTCAAACTTATGTAAGTAATTTTTCCAAATCTCTTTTTTTCCCATAACATACATGCTGCTGAGTCCACTCCTCCAAACTAAGTAAACATAGGAATGCTCATGGCCAAATCATAAGTATAGAAAGTGACTTTGGAACTGATGAAGACTTTCTTCTTGTCTACGCTTTAGTCAGGCTTCTAGGAACACTCTTTTTGACTCTACTTTGTCCTTGGGCCCTGTCTTTACACTGCCTAGTCCAGCTGTTGCAAGAATGCTGCTAAGTCAGTTTAGAGAGAATCTCCCACTCTTGATATCTGATCACTCTGGCTTGCCTTCAGCAAGAATCCTCTTACGTTAGCTAACAAGAAATCCCCTACCCTTGATGTCTCCTCTTAGTAATTTGTATTCATTGACAACCTTTCACTCTGCTCATTAGCTGCACTTCCCAGATATCTTTGCTGTGTTCAGAGTTGAACCTTATCTCTCTTGCCTATTAGAATCATCTTGACACCTATCATTTTAATCTTAAATAAAGTGATCCTTAACCATTTTAACAAGTGTTGGAAATTTTTTTATTTAGCAGAACTAACAAATTGTTTGCGAACTATTGAAATAGAACTATTCTATTATGGCCTGCAGATATTTTTCTCAATTATAATTCACTTTCATACTGTAAAAGTATCTTTGCTTTGTGTATATCTTTTTCATATAAAAACTTTTAATTTGGCAGGGAATAGTGGCTCATGCCTGTAATCCCAGAACTTTGGGAGGCCCAGATGAGTGGATCATGTAGGTCAGGAATTGAGACCAGCCTGGCCAACATGGCAAAACCCCATCTCTACTAAAAGTACAAAAATTATCCGGGCATGGTTGTGGGCACCTGTATTCTCAGGTACTTGGGAGACTGAGGCAGCAGAATCGCTTGAACCCAGGAAGCAGAGGTTGCAGTGAGCCAAGATCAGGCTGCTGCACTCTAGCCTGAGTGATAGAGTGAGTGAGACTCTGTCTCAAAAAACAAAAAACAAAAAAACCTTTCGATTTATTTTCCAGAGGTCTATTTTTAATTTAGTAACAAGATTTTTAAAAATATTTATAAAATTAAATAACAATAGAATGTTAGAACTAGGCCCTATAAAATATAAAATTGTCAAAATTGCTTAGCATGATTGTAGCTTCAAGGATCCTATTGTTAATGTGGCAACTTCTGAAACCAAACATCATCATGCTTAGCATCAAGAGCTAAAGTAGTCATGAGTTAATGGAGAAGAACAACTAAGGAATTGGCTGCCGAAGTAAAGTTTATGCTAAATTTAAATGAAATGAAATAACAAAGTAGTTTGAAATGAACATTCCATTGATTATTTTTAAAATTTTATTTATTAACAAAGTAGCTTATACTAACTGCCCACTGTCTATCCCAATAGTTACAGCAATAACATATAGTTAACATTTGTAATTAAATATTTCATTTCATACAAATAGTATTTTAAAATTCAAGTGTTGATTTTTAAGCCTTTGAATGTTTGGCTGTTTAAAATTTAAGTGCATATAAAAATTGTAGAAAAGGGTCATTATTAATAAAATATTCAAAATATGGTAAATTTTGCATGATGATTTAATATATGCAAATTGACAAGTGATGTGAATAGTACATTTGAATAGAGAAAATATGTACATAAATGAATGGTATTTCAGAATCTAAGCAAATTGATGACTACATTATGTACTTGTCCCCAATGTAAATGAAATATTAATTAGAAAACTTTTTTTTTTCACTAAAGGGCTGAACATAAAGTGTGATGGCAAATTGGTGTGTTCTTGTATTTCTTGTCTTTGGGGATTCTTTTCAGTATATTTTCACTTAATGTTTTAGCAACATTTTTCGTCATCCTTTTACACTTATAGCTGGACTATGCTTAGTGATAGAAAATAGTTATATAATGGGATTATACTTGGCCATATGAATTTGATGGTATGAGTTAATCTGTGTTTCACCTTACTTGTGTCTACTTGTAAATCATTGATGCTAATGTTATTAGTAATTTTTAGAGGGTAGAAATGTTTTCTATATGACATTTTTGAGAAAAGGAAGTCAATAAATCCCATTTGATATGCAACAGAAATAAAGATCTCTTATTTCAATTTTAAAATGCTTTATAACTTACATTGCTTTGTTTCATGCATTATTTGTTTTGATCAGATGCAAAATGAGTCAGTAATGTCATCTAACCACAAGTTTGATACATTTTTTAAAGAAAAATTTCCAAAATACTTTAACTGAGCAATAGGCTAATACTTCATAAATTAAAATATTTAAATATTCAATCTTTCTGAGTGGATATTTGTTGCATATCTGATAACTTGGCCTAATTCTGTAATTGGGATGAGAACTACCCAATTTTATTGGTAACCTCTTTTCTGCTCTGCAACTTTGGAAATACTATGGAGGACTCCAAATTCATTTGAGACAAAAATATTAAAAATGTATCCCCTGATTAGGATTTCAGTTCCAAAGCTCTCCTTGGAGGGATATAGAGCTGGAGAAAATCACATTTATTTTTCGTCTCTTTAATATTGATATATAAAAGTCAGGTTAAAATTAGTATCAAATTGGGAAGCCTGCATGGTAAACCGGCTGGAATAATACACTCTGCAATATGAAGGAAAAAGGAAAAATTTAGTTGATTTATTTACCTAACTATAATTTTTTAAAGAATTTTAAGTTTCTAATAAATTTAACTATAAATTTTTAATTTTCTATCTTTCATTTAGTACCATCTATATAAACTTTTCCAGGCTACTTCTCTGAATCACCTGGCAAAATCTTATAATTTACCACCTAATTGAATAAAACACACACACAAAATAATCTATTTTGAATAATAAACATCATTTATAATTATCTTGTTGAGATTGAGAGTAATCATCAGGTGTGGAAAAACTATTGAGGAAATTTTAACAATTTAAAATGTAATAATCTTTTTTGTATTATGTGTGTTTTATACTCAGAAGTGCATATGTTTTATAAAATTATGTGAATTTATAAATGTGGTCAATATTAATATTAAATTGTATCTTTTAATAGTATCTTCAATTATCTTTTTTTTTGCTGCTGGATTCCATTTAGAAAAAAAAAATGTTCTATATAGCAGTGTTGCTTTCTTTTTCTTTTCTTTTTGCTTTTCTTTCTTTTTTCTATTGATAAAGTATTTACTTGATCTTGGGGAAGAGGTATATAATCAAGTGACCACATTTTTCTTTGTTACATATTATTAAAAATTTATAATCAATCTTTCCAAATTGTAATCGGTCTGAAACCCATTTGCTTTACTCAAATTATTTAGTGACTGTAAAAGTTTCAGAAACATATGAAAGTTACAAATTAGCTTTAAATGTGTCATGTTTAAAGCAGTTGTTTTAAAAGCTAAGTCATTATCCATTATTATGTAACTAGTATTCTAAATATCACATCTTTGCATTGTTTGACTTTTAAGGCATATGAAATGTTTTGGATCAGAGAAATCATTT
This sequence comes from Homo sapiens, assembly GCF_000001405.40. Lineage (NCBI taxonomy): Eukaryota > Metazoa > Chordata > Mammalia > Primates > Hominidae > Homo > Homo sapiens. The sequence goes on from NC_000009.12 coordinate 39,885,366, forward strand.
GCTTCACATCCCTAAGAGACAGACTCTATGGGTACTGAGTCATGCTAACAGTGGCAAAACCTGACAAACAATAAGCATCATTTTCAAATATTTTAAACATTTCACATAAAAATTTACTTTTAGCATACATTGCAGCCATCGAGGAAGCCTAAAGTAAGGAAAACCTCAGTGAAATATGATGAAGTTAATAAAAAGAAATAGCCATCATTTTATTTGTTTAAATTGCCATTATCTCTCATATAATTATGTACAATATATAACATAGGATAATTAAGTCAAACTGTGTACCTACAGATATGGAGAGCCTTATATTTTAGGAAAAAGTAAAATGTAAATTAACTGGTAAAGATGAGCTTTTCAATCTATAAGGCATAGACACTTTTCCTTGGTGGATTTGAAAAGGTTCTTAGAAATCTGAAAATAAGATAGTTTTTCTATAATAAATGGTAAAAAACACTTTCACATCTTAACCTTATCATAGTATCACAATGCTGGAATGTTTTTACTGGGAAATAAGTAAGCTAATTCAATTATAAATTGCAGTAGAGGAAAGGATGAAGGTTAAAAAACACTATCTATTCAAATCCTTAGTCATGAGGTTGAATTCATTGAATCAGAGTGTGAATATATATCTATATTTGAGACAGAATTTGTATGTATGTGTGTGAGTGTGAGTGTGTGTGTACAGTCATTAGACATTTGCCTCATGGACAGTGGAGGAAAACATTTGCTGAGCTGCTTTCCTACCTTAAAGATTTACAACTGCACTGTTTTCAAGATATACTTTTTATATCTCAAATAATGTAATATATTATGTTTAGTTGTTGATATAACAAGATATCTGAATACCCCATAATTGAAATTATACCTGGAAATAAATACTTGAAATACTTGCTTCAGTGACATTTGTGGAAGTATACTTATTTAAGTTCAAATTATAGGTATATTGAACAAAATGATATTGGATTCTTCACTGGCTGCATACTTCTGAAACTTGTAAATAATTTGAAATTAGTTTCCAAGAACAGAAAGACAAATATTAGATAGGAAATACCAAATTCTTAAGATTCATACATATAAAAGTGAAATAAAAATCAAACTTAATCTTATCATGAATTTTCTACTGTGGCTTAATTTTAGAACTTGTTATAAAAATAGAAATGCTATTAATTTAATTACATTTATTAAAATCTAAAAATAGGTGATTATAGCTAGGACATTGACAAGTGTAACTATACATGAGTAAATATAACTGAGGATAGCAACACATGAAATATATCATAAAATTGAATTATTCTATAAATAGTATTAAGTCTGTATTACTTGGAACTTGATTCCACTTAGAATGTCCCTGCTTTTATTTATTTATTTATTTTTGTAAACAAAATGAGCAAGAGGTTATTACACTTCATTCACTGCGAAAAGGTAACACTACATCAAAGATAACTCACATACTTGCAGAAATATGGAAGGTAGTTCTTTCTTTTTTTTGTTAAGAAATAGGGTCTCACTATGTTGCCCAGGTTGTAGTGCAGTGACTATTCAAAGGGGTCATCCCACTACTGATAAGCAGAGGAGTTTTATTCTGCTCAATTTTTGAGTTGACCACTCCTTAGGCAACCTGGTGGTCCTCTGCTCCCTGGAAGCTAACATATTGATGCCAAACTTAGTGCAGACACTTCCTCAGCATAGTGCATACAACCCAGAAATCCTGGGCTCAAGTGTTCCTCCCGCCTCAGCATCCTGAGTAGCTGGGACAACAGGTGTGTGTCACCTGGCTGAAAGGTATTTTTAAATACAAATGTTGTCCAGGAGTGACAGAAGCTGGAGAATTGGACTACTTGATGGAGGCTTTGTACAAGCTTTGAACAATAATAACAACAAAATTGAAATGCCAAAAATATTGTTTAGCAGTTAACCACCAATAAAAGGAAGCCAGCCATTTCACACAGAGGATTTTGTTAATTGATTGCGTGATTCAAGGAAATAATATTATTAGGTGTGTATTAGTCCATTATTGCATTGCTATAAAGAAATACCTGAGATTGGGTAATTTATAAAGAAAAGAGGTTTAACTGACTCACAGTTCTGCATGCTGTACAGAAAGAATGTTGCATCTGCTGGGCATGTGGGGAGGCCTCATGAAATGTATAACCATGGTGGGAAAATGAAGAGGGAGCCGGTGCTTCATATAGCTGGGAGCAGGAAGAAAAGTGAGAGGTGAGGAGGTGCTACACCCTTTTAACAACCAGATTTCATAATAACTCACTCACTCACTATCATAAGAATAGCACCAAGGAAATGGTATTAAACCATTAAAAAGAAACCACTCCACAATCCAATAACCTCCCATCAGGCCCCACCTCCAACACTGGGTATTTCAATTTGACATGAGATTTGGTTGGGGACATAGATCCAAACCATATTATTTTGCCCTAGTCCCTCCCAAATTTTGTCTTTCTCAGTTTGCAAAATATAATCATGCCTTCCCATCAGTCCCTCAAAGTCTTAACTCACTTCAGCATTAACTCAAACATCCAAAGTCTAAAGTCTTATCTGAGATGAGGCAAGCCCCTTCTGCCTAAGACCCTGTAAAATAAAAAAAAAAAACAAAAACTCCCAAGATATAATGTATAATGGGGGTACAGGGATTGGGTAAATACTCCCATTTCAAAAGGGAGAAATTGGCCAAAAGTAAGGGGCTACGGGCCGCATGCAAGTCTGAAACCCAGTAGGAAAGTTATTAAGTCTTAAAGCTTAACAATCTCCTTTGACGCCATCCAGGGCATACCACTGCAAGGGGTGAGCTCCCAAAGCCTTGTGCTGCTCCACTCCTGTGACTTTGCAGGGTTCAGCTCCTACAGCTGCTCTCAAGGGCTGGTGTTGAGTGCTTGCACCATTTCCAGGCACACGGTACAAGTGCTGGTGGATCTACCATTCTGGGGTCTGGAAGATAGTGTCCCTCTTCTCATAGTTCCCCTAGATAGTGGTCCAGTAGGGACACTGTGTGGTGGCTCCAACCCCACCTTTCCCCTCTTCAGTGCCCTCGTAGAGATTCTCCATCAGGGCTCTGACCCTGCAGCAGATTTCTGACTGTACATCTAGGTTTCTTCATACATTCTCTGAAATCTAGCCTCAACTCTTGTACTCTGTGCACCCTCAGGCTTAATGCCACATGGAAGCCATCAAGACTTATGGCTTGAACCCTCTGGAGCAGCATCCTGAGCTGTACCTGGGCCACTTGGAGCCATGGCTAGAGCTGCAACAGATGAGATGCATGTAGTAGTGTCCCATTCTTCCTTCGTTGTCCTCTGAGCCTGTGATGGGAGGAGCTGCCACAAAGGTCTCTGAAATGCCCTGGAGGGTATCCCTCATTTTCTTGGCTATCAGCATGTGCCTTCCTTTTAGTTAAGCAAGTTTCTGCAGCTTGCTTGAATTTCTCTCCTGAAAATGGGCTTTTTGTTCTACCACATGGCCAGGCTGCAAATTTTTCAAGTTTCTACACTCTGCTTCCCTTCTAAATATAAGTTTCAGTTTGAGGTCATTTCTTTGCTCACACACATCAAAATAGTTTGTCAGAAGTAGTGAGCTTACCTCCTGAATGCTTTGCTGCTTAGAAATTTTTTCCACCAGATACCCACCAGAACTTGAGATACTCTCAAGTTCAAAATTCCACAGATCCCTAGGGCAGGCCCACAGTGCAGCCAACCTTTTTGCTAATGCCTAACTAAAGTGACCTTTGCTCCAGTTCCCATTAAGTTCCTTATCTCCATCTGAGACCTCCTCAGCCTGGACTTCATTGTGAGTCTCTATCAGTAGCTTGGTCACAACAATGTAACAAGACTCTAGTAAGTTCAAAACTTGCCCTCATCTTCCTGTCTTCTTCTGATCTCTCCAAACCCTTCCAATCTCTGCCCACTATCCAGTTTCAAAGCCACTTTCACATTTTCCGGTATGTTTACAACAATATCATATTCCTCTACCAATTTTCTATATTAGTCCTTTCTTACATTGCTCTAAAGAAATACCTGAGACTGGGTAATTTATAAAGAAAAGCAGTTTAATTGGCTCATGGTTCTGCACGTTATACAGAAAGCATGATGCATCTGCTGGGCTTCTGCGGGGGCCTCAGTAAGCTAACAATCATGGCAGAAGGTGAAGGGGGAGCCAGCACTTCACATGGCTGGAAGCAGGAAGAAGAGTGAGAGGTGGGGAGGTGCTATACACTTTTAACAACCAGACTCACAATAACTCACTCACTGTCACAAGAACAGCACCAAGGAGATGGTGCTAAACCATTTAAGAGAAACCGCCCGATGATCCAATTGCCTCCCAACAGGCCCCACCTCCAACAGTGGGACTTACAGTTTGACATGAGATTTGGGTGGGGACACAGATCCAAATGATATCAATGTGTTAAAAGGAAAAGGAGATAGCAGTGGGAAATGGATATTTAACTTCAGTTTATGAGTTTTTATTTTAGAGTTCTAAAATTATGTCTTATACTGCCTATACAAGTGCTAGAATAGTTTCTGTATTAAGTGGTAGATATTAATATCCAAATATCATACTTACCTTCTTTGACCTTGCAGTTTAAGACGGCATTTTAAGAAAGTAAACAAACACATTGATTTTTTTTTAAAGGAGACATTTTTCAGTAAAGGATATAAGTATGTTAACATGAGAGATATAGAAAAATTACAGATGGACAGACAATCCTACATAGAAACCTAAGGAAGCATTTAACTCAGACACAGAGATTGAGAAGAGTAAAGTGGGTGAAATCTGGGAAAGAATGCTTCCAGTAGAAGAAACAGAATATTGAAGGAACAGAGATTGATGTCAAGAGTTCAGGGAAACAAACCAGAATAAGAATGTTTAGACAAAAGGCTGATGGTAGAAGGATATTGAGACTGAAAGTTATAGAGAGCACAGGCTTACTCGAAAATTAGTAGACAAAAGAACATCTGTAAGTTCAATCATGAAGGAGTGCCAGAATTAAAGAGAAAATAAGGAAATAATAAAGGGAATCTTTTGATGTGAGGAACCAATTGGGCTACCAACTCAGCCTGCCAGCCTGCCATTCCAGTGACAGTAGGAAATAAATGTTCTGTAAGTTATTTGGAAATTAGAGGACAAAGTAATTGTTTGTTCTATAGGTAGAGAAACATTTTTGTAAATGATAATACAGCTGTTCTACCGATTTCTCTTAATTTTCAAAATTTTTGAAGGGGTACACTATATTTTCATGATTTGTTCATTCTGATTTCCAACTCATATTTGTTCATCATTTTCTCTTTAAATTTTAAAAAGTTGAAAGACATTCATATCACAAAATTTTCACAGGATAATTTTTCTAGTTGCAACTGTAGATTTATGTGGATATATACAAATCTCTCTAGTGACACATCTAAAGATTAATGTTATGTTCTGTTCCATAGGGAGCAAATATACCACATGAAACATCGCAACTATGAATCCAACTAGACTGTATGGGAAACATATATTGAAAAATAAATTAAAATTATAAGTTCTATGAGAAAACACAAACATTTGAGTAAAAAAATGAGAAAGGTTTAGTGGTGACTTCTTCCCATGTTAGAAAAAAGGATTCATAATGAACAACTTTTTTTTTCATGTATTTCCTACAATTGAGTAAAATAATAGGACTAGGTAAGTTTACTGGTTTGCATTTTTTCATCTGGGTCTGGTTTTCCATTTCAATTGTTAGCCATTGTATTAACTACTTTCACCATTCAAAGGAATGAATGATCTGCCATAGTATTTTCTGCAGTTCCATCTCTTGTTTTCAGTATCATTCCAATTCTGCATCTATCTAATTTTGATCTCTGTTCTATTTATTTTCCTGATTCATAACATTTTGCTTTGTGCTGAGCACCTAATTGTCTCTCTGTCATTCTCAACATTTTAGCCCTATGGTCTAAAAGATGCCCAAAAGAATGTAGCATATTCTAGTATATCAGTGGGACAACATAAACAACTTGCTTAATTGTTAATCTATTTAAAAATGAAACAGTGTTTTTCATTTTTTCAATCAATTTAATGCTGACTAGATCCTATAACTACATTCTACTTTTTATAACTAAAGAACTCCAGAAAAATAAATGTAATAGCTTTGCTGGAAAAGATTAACCTTACAATGCCTTCCTAATGCCCTTACTTTTTTTTTTTTTGAAAAGTGTTTTCTGGTACACAAAAATAATATTCTGAAATATCTCTCTGATATTTGATTGCCGGATTTAACCTACATACCTCTGAACCTTGGTTTTTCAGACATGCAAACTGCTTAACAAGTTCCAATGCATTAATCAATGCACCATTGCATAACTTACAGTAAGAAAAGTTGGTAGATATTTCAGCAATGCCATAAAATATGCTTCCATTTAACACTTTGAGACAACCAATACACTATTTATATTATTGAGACAAAACAAACCTAAGATCACAGAAAAATATTTATTTTAATAGAATGGTATTTAAGTAGATAGTTTTTTTGTTGTGTTTTTGTTTGTTTGTTTGTTTGTTTGTTTTTGAGATGGAGTCTCCCTCTGTCACCCAGGTTGGAGTTCAGTGGCCCAGTCTTGGCTCACTGTAACCTCCCCTTCCCAAGTTCAAGCAGTTCTCCCTGCCTCAGCCTCCTGAGTAGCTGAAATTACAGGCATGCACCACCACACCTGTTTAATTTTTGTGTTTTTAGTAAAGATGGGATGTCACTATGTTGGCCAGGCTCGTCTTGAAATCCTGACTCCTGACCTCAGGTGATCTGCCCACCTTGGCCTCCCAAAGTGTAAGTAGATAGTCTAAATGATTATGGGTTTCAATAGGTTTTGTTAATTTGTTTTAGTTGACATACAAGAGCACTACAAAACCACATTATTTTATTTTAATTTTTATCAGTAAACTTCATTATATTAAAGGCCATATTGCCCACTGAATATGATTTTGATAAGCACAACTTCTATAATTTACAACTTACTGTATATGGTCTAATATAAATTACATTTAGCTATCTTGAATAAAAGATATGAATCCCCAAAAACTTAATATATAAAATAATTTCTACAATCAATTAAGCCACATGGGGCCTGGTGTGCAAGGGCTGCAAACAGCATCATCCTAGGTAGTGTACAGCAGCCTGTTCCTTGCGTACAACAGCCTTTGCCATTGGACATTTATGTCTTGGATCTAGTGCTTTCCCTAGTCTAGGTTTAAGACCGGATGTAGTATGCCTTTGGAAAGCCTCAGGACCCAGAGGTCAGAGTTCACATTGGCCATGTTCATCCATACCAAGCTGCAAACCCTGGAGCATGTGACTGAGGCCTTATTTAGGGCCAAATTCAAGTTCAGTGAATGCCCAAAAAGCCACATCTCAAAGAAGTGCGATTTTACTAAGTTTAATGCATATACATTTTAAGACTTGGTGGCTGAGAAACAACTCATCCTGGATGGCTGTGGGGCCAAATATAGCCCTGGAATCATGGGCCCCTGGACAAGCAGCTAGCCCTGCATTAGAAAAGAGCTGCCCCCTCTTTACGCATGCCCACCAGTGAATTCTATTTCCTGTACATCTAATAAATCAATCTATCTATCTATCTATCTATCTATCTATCTATCTATCTATCTAAATAATTCAATAATATGCAGTAGATTAAAAAAATAAACACAACTTGATGTCTAACTACTGTGGATATATTTTGTCATTTATTAACATTCCCCTTTCAGGTTAATATCAAGTCAACAAAAATTTGGAGTTCTCTTGACCCTTTCCCCAATGTGTAAATTAGTAATATAATGTCAATATTCAGACAGGCAAATAAACTAAGCTCCCTTTGATGAAAACGACATGCAGTAACGCTTCCCTACTGAGAATCATCTTAGTTTGTGAAATCATAATCTGGAATGGCTATATCTGCAAAATACATTAAAAGAAAGAAAATATGAAAAACATAATCTACAATACTTTTATGTATATCTAATCATTTTATATTTCTTTTTTATTATACTACTTGAAATACATACATAAAGGATAAAGAGTTTCAACAAATCTCAAAAAGGAAACCTAATTATGTATAATATTCTGACTGATTTTGTTTGCTTACCAAATTGAAATTGAAAAGAAAAAATACAGCACTCTATAAAAAAATAAAATGATTTCAAAATATAATTATTTTCTCCCTTTGAAAATATAAATGTTTAAATAATGGTGAAATAGAGAACATAAACATTCACAAATATTACATATCCATTCAACATTTTCAGGTATTATTTTGTTTTGTTCAAACCTCCCCTTCTGTCATTTTTCTCTCCTTTCTTTATCTTTAGCATAACTGAGCTGCTTTCCAAACATCTATAGTTATACCGGACATAGCATTTTCCAACATCAAACATGGTTTTTCTTAAACACCAGTTCCAAATATTAATTCCCAGGGAAAATGACATTTTCCATATGTGAGAAATATTGGAACCAATATAACAAAACTCATTAACATTTATAACATTTGAAAATAATTTCACAAAAGTTTTATTTAAAAAATTTTATTGTAAATTTATGTAAGAAATTCTCTATCCATTACATGACTTGTATAACATCCACAGTATACTAAGAAAATATTTTTAAAATATAGGATAAGGTGTCTAAATAATAAATTTTTAAGACTGCTTAGAGCCACTATTAAAAATCTGAGAATAAGGCATGAATTTTTTTTTTTTTTTTTTTTTTGAGACGGAGTCTCGCTCTGTCGCCCAGGCTGGGGTGCAGTGGCGCGACCTCAGCTCACTGCAAGCTCCGCCTCCCGGGTTCACGCCATTCTCCTGCCTCAGCCTCCCGAGTAGCCGGGACCACAGGCGCCCGCCACCACGCCCGGCTAATTTTTTGTATTTTTAGTAGAGGCGGGGTTTCACCGCGTTAGCCAGGATGGTCTCGATCTCCTGACCTCATGATCCGCCCGCCTCTGCCTCCCAAAGTGCTGGGATTACAGGCGTGAGCCACCGCGCCCGGCCGAATATTTTTTGATCTATAGAGATTATATATCGGCATGCTGGCATTGGCTTTTATTACAGAATAAGCATTTTAATCTTCATTCACTCTCATCAATTCATTATAGAAACCAGCTTAAAAAAAAAGACCACCACTTGTAGAAAACAGTTAATATTTCGATGGTTTACCTGGAAGTTTACTGGGCATAAATTTATAAAATACATTTATGGATGGAAATAAACTGTTTTACTAAACAATATTACAGAATTCTGAATAGATGCTGATTAAGCAGCAAATCAACAAAACTGTTTATTTACCAGTTTGGTGGCTATTATGCTAATTAGATCATCTGTTTAAAATGTGTCCATATGGACAATTTTTCTGTAAATGTTTTCTTTATCTCCACATTGTGTGGTAGTATTTTCATAGAACCAAGTAGAAATTAACTTAAAAATTAGTTATTTAAAGATGACAATAGAAGGTTTTGAACTTTGAGTTCCAAAAGGCAAGCAAATATTTCTGAAATAAAATATATTATATATATTTAATTTCTAATTTAATTTACATATAAAATATTTTTAAAATTCATGTGAATTTGAGATATTTTCACATTGATTGGACTGTTTTTGTACCTCATTTTGCTTGGTCACACTAAAGTGAGATTCATCATCTTGTGGCACCAAAGGAAAACTAGTGTGATTATAAGGAAATTATTACAGTTAGACAACTGTGCATTAATTTCATCATTAAGGACCAAACATGTATACAGATATAAATACTTTTCTCAATACATTACTTGCAACATATGCACAATTATGTAACAATTATGGTGAACTAAGTCTCCTAGAAATTTCCAAAATATTTTTTTTGCCTTTTTTTAACCTCTAAATCCATATAAATCAAGGGAAAATATTCTTGCACATATGTATATTTAAACATGAACCTAACCAAAAGTAAGAGAAATTTGAAAAAGTATAACATATCAAAATGTGGAAATTTCTGTGTTTAGGGAAAAATCTATCCCATTAAGAGCTTGCATTAGAAAAGAAAAATTACCTTGAAATTATGATGAAAGCTTCCAACTTGTTATTATAAAAATGAGAACAAATTAATTCTGAAGCAATCAGAAAGAAGAAAATAATAAAGGTTAATGAAGAAATAAACAACATTAAATGGAGAAAAATTATATAGCTAAGTAAATTAAACTAAATTTAGATCTTTGAAGGGATCAATAAAATTGTTAAATCTCTGGCCAGACTATGGAGAAAATAATAGGAAATAAATAATTTACAAATTTTAAGAATGACAGAAGTGGCTGGGGTTGGTGGCTCATGCCTGTGATCCCAGCACTTTGGGAGGCCGAGGCAGGCGGATCGTTTGAGGTCAGGAGTTCCAGACCAGCCTGGCCAACATAGTGAAGCCCTGTCTCTACTAAAAATACAAAAATTAGCTGAGCGTGATGGCGCATGCCTGTATTCCCAGCTACTCGGGAGGCTGAGGCACAAGAATTGCTTGAAGCTGGGAGGTGGAATTTGCAGTGAGTAGAGATGAGGCCACTGCACTCAAGCCCGGGCGACAGAACGGGACTCTGTCTCAAAACAAATAAACAACAAAAAAAGAATGATAGAAGTAACATTTCCATTGTCCTACAACAGTTTAAGGATAACTAAATGAATACCATGATGAAATTTATAAATGTAAATTAGTTAATTTAGATTAAGTGTATAAATCCCTCAAAAGATACAAACTAAGGCAAACTCAAAAAGAAAGCAATAAAATGCACATCCCTATATATCTGTTTTAAATTTATTAATACCCACCTAGATAAACGAACTGACAAATTTTACTAATATTTAAGGAGATATAATTTATACATTACACAAAAGTTTAAGAAATAAAAAAGAGGAAACACTTTTCTTTTTTTTTTTAATAAGAGGTTGCTTTGTACTTTTTTTTTTATTATACTTTAAGTTTTAGGGTACATGTGCACATTGTGCAGGTTAGTTACATATGTATACATGTGCCATGCTGGTGCGCTGCACCCACTAACTCGTCATCTAGAATTAGGTTTATCTCCCAATGCTATCCCTCCCCACTCCCCCCACCCCACAACAGTCCCCAGAGTGTGATATTCCCCTTCCTGTGTCCATGTGATCTCATTGTTCAATTCCCACCTATGAGTGAGAATATGCGGTGTTTGGTTTTTTGTTCTTGCGATAGTTTACTGAGAATGATGATTTCTAATTTCATCCATGTTCCTACAAAGGACATGAACTCATCATTTTTTATGGCTGCATAGTATTCCATGGTGTATATGTGTCACATTTTCTTAATCCAGTCTATCATTGTTGGACATTTGGGTTGGTTCCAAGTCTTTGCTATTGTGAATAATGCCGCAATAAACATACATGTGCATGTGTCTTTATAGCAGCATGATTTATAGTCCTTTGGGTATATACCCAGTAATGGGATGGCTGGGTCAAATGGCATTTCCAGTTCTAGATCCCTGAGGAATCGCCACACTGACTTCCACAATGGTTGAACTAGTTTACAGTCCCACCAACAGTGTAAAAGTGTTCCTATTTCTCCACATCCTCTCCAGCACCTGTTGTTTCCTGACTTTTTAATGATCGCCATTCTAACTGGTGTGAGATGGTATCTCATTGTGGTTTTGATTTGCATTTCTCTGATGGCCAGTGATGATGAGCATTTGGTACAAGGAGGAACTGGTACCATTCCTTCTGAAACTATTCCAATCAATAGAAAAAGAGGGAATCCTCCCTAACTCTTTTTATGAGGCCAGCATCATTCTGATACCAAAGCTGGGCAGAGACCCAACAAAAAAAGAGAATTTTAGACCAATATCCTTGATGAACATTGATGCAAAAATCCTCAATAAAATACTGGCAAAACGAATCCAGCAGCACATCAGAAAGCTTATTCACCATGATCAAGTGGGCTTCATCCCTGGGATGCAAGGCTGGTTCAATATACACAAAGCAATAAATGTAATCCAGCATATAAACAGAGCCAAAGACAAAAACCACATGATTATCTCAATAGATGCAGAAAAAGCCTTTGACAAAATTCAACAACCCTTCATGCTAAAAACTCTCAATAAATTAGGTATTGATGGGACGTATTTCAAAATAATAAGAGGAAACACTTTTCAACATGTTTTATGAGTCTACCGTTATCCCCATACCAAAACCATAAAACAGACATTACAAGAAAATGTCCTGTAGACAAATATGTATTTTGATGATGAATTTAGATTTCAAAAACTTCAGCAAAATATTATCCAATTAAATCCTCTCATGTCTGTGTGTGTGTGTGTGTGCATGCACGTGTGTTTGTAAAATATATCATTACTAATTGGCGTTTATCTTGGGAGTTCAAGATGGTTTCCATATTCAATCAACCCATCAATGTGGACTATGGTCACTTGAAAAGACCAGCAAATCCTCTGCACAAAAGGCCACTAGAAATTCATTAAAGCAGCCTTCCATCATTCTCGAAATTGACCAAAGCATTCAACTACCTGAGAAATATTTATGTTTGGAAAGCTATTGAAATGCAATTAAAAATATCAGGAAACCTGTTTTTACCTTTTGTCCTAATCTTGCTAAATCCTTCTTAATTTTAGGAGACACTGCTTCTCCTTCCACTGTTCTTTTACTTTCTCCTTCCCCTTTGTTTTTGCCTCCCCCTTCCTCTCCCTTTTCTACATTCCTTCTCTCTCCTAAATGCTGTATAAATTTCTACATATGTAATCATATTATTTACAAATAGGAACAGTTTTACTTATTTCTTTCCAGTCTGCATTTATTTTATTCTTCCTTTTTTTCCTTACACACTGGATAGAACTCTAAGTATTATGTTGAAAAAGAGTGATAAAAGCAAACATCTTTGCTTTATTCCTGAGCATACATGTGGAAAACATTCAGTGTTTCACAGCTAAATATGATGGATTTTTTGTATGCTCTTTATCAAGATGAAGGAATTTTCTGCTATTTCTGGTTTGCTGAATTTTTATCACAAGTAACTGTTGAATAGTGTCTTTTTCCCCTGCATTTATTGAACTGATCATGCATTCTCCTATTTTAGAATATTAATATGATGAACTATATTATTAGATTTTTTAAAATATTGCAACTGTCTTGCATTTCTGGAATAAACATGGCTTGGTCATGTGTCACTTTTTTACATAGTGTCGTATTCAAGTTGTCGAGGATTTTGCATCTAGGGTATATTTGTAGATTTGCATCTAGGTTATGTTGGTCTAAAGTTTTGTTTGTTTGTTTTCCTTTTCTTTTTTTTTATCATCTTTGTCTTCTTCTGTTTAAGTGTCATGCTTGCTTCATAAAATGAATTGAGAAGCATTTCTTCCTCTTCTGTTTCTCGAAAATTGTAGAGAACTCTTGTTTTTTGTTGTTGTTTGTTTGTTGTTTTGTTTTTTCTTATTTTTATCCTCATACTGAGAACCAAACAGTCTGGAGTGTAAAACATGGTTCCTCATTCCAGTTAAATCTAGTATACAATGACAACAACCCTCTTGGGTTAAGCATTGGCCTACAAACAGAAAAAAACCTTCAGGGAGATAGATGCTGATCTAGGCATTGTGAGAAAAGCTGAATTCATTTTTAATCATGAATGGCTTTTAAGGAAAGAAGATTTATTAACTAAAATAAATAGATTAGAGGGAATTCTCACCTATGAGAGAGGAAGGGATGGGATTCAACCTGGAAAAAGTAATGAAGTTTTAGTGAACTTGGTAAGGTAGACTCAACAATTAATGATGGATAATGCTAGGACCCAACACTGGTAATGAGTTTGTATTATGACTCAATAGCATCACTTTATCACTTTAACACAGATGGAGGCCTAAATAACCATAGGGTAATGGTTCTTCTTAGATGCAGAAGGACACATTTATATAATCTTAGGGACCCCATCTCTGAGGTCACTCATAATTTATATTAATTCATTGTTATTGCCATTGCCCCAAGAATAGATAAGGATAAGACATCCTGTAGTACAGGTAGCAGAGATATAAACTATTCTTATTCTTGTGTCTTGTCTATAGGAAGGGAGTGTATCCTGGTGTAAGACAGCATATAGTAGAGACCATTGTCAATTAGGGCCTGTGAACTAAGACAGGGTGACTGGCTAAGTCCACAACCCATTAGAAACCCAGAAATAATCAAATCATGGTGAGTAGTAATAACACTTATTTATAATACTATACGGTATAAAGACAAGAACCAATTATGTTGAGTAGCTGTAACAAATAGCTCTATCATTCGTAATAACTTTTTCTGTAATAAAACTGAATTGTAACATGATCATACTGCAATATGACATTACACTAGCATTGTTGGTAAGATTCAACTATCTTATGTAGAGAAGTTATATAATGCTTATATTGATAATCAAATGTATTAAGATATTGAGTTAAAGCCTCTTCAGAATGTAATCTGGGTGAATAATAAATGGCCTGAGAAAACAGAATTCAGCTAACCATTATCTAATTTCAATGCTAAATAGTTCTGCACAGATTTATCAAAAAGTAAAAATAAAAGCAGATTGAGAGGAGGAATGAATAATTTTGTTTGTACAAAATATTAAAGTGTATGTAATGGGCTTGTAGGATGCATTAGTAATTTTTAAAAATCAATCTTTACCCTACACTGTGTCCATAAAATGCTAGGCATATTCATGTTAATATTACTGTTGTTACTGTCATATAAATGCCATATTCAATGTAGATGCTCAGAAAAATATGATTGTTTTGCTACAGGAGAGATTAGACCAGGGACAATAAATATGGATTAGGCAAGAATGTGTTAACTCAGCAGCCCAGGGTTTTTTCAACCCTGCACATTCAAAGGTAAGGTTTGTTTTTAGGACTAGCTAGCCTCTGAGTTCTGGAAATAGTCTTACCGTGAAGAGTGTTTTTGTATATCTGAGGCCTTGGGTTTATGGTGAATGACTGACTTATATGCCTGAGGCCCTGAGCCATGCTGTATTTATTTGAACCATGTGGTATCAATTTAACCAGATACGTTTATTCTAAGATATGATTTATGCTGAATGCCTGGTTTTGTTCTAGAGGGATCATGGAAAGGAAGCTGAATTTGCCAAGTTTTGCCACTTGGGCATTGCATGCCTATGTGATTAACCACCAATAAAAACCTGGGACATCAAAGAATAAATAAGCTGCTCTAATTGCCAAGAATTCACATGTGGTTGTATGCAGCTTTACTGGGAGACTGAAGTGTATCTGCATGTGATTCTGCTGTGATGGACACTTGTAAGTTTGTGCCTGGAGTCTCCTGGACTTTGCCCTGAGAATCTTTTTCCTTTGTTGATACGACTCTGCATCCTTTTGTTTTAATAAACTGTAAACATGAGTATAATTGCTTCTCTGAGTTCTGAGAGTTTTTTAAATAAATAATCAAAGCTGAAGAGCAATGGAGACCCCCACCAAAACATCTTTACACATTTCAATTTTGTATTGAAGTAAATTTTATTTTCTTTTTTATACCTCCCATATATATTCTATTTTTCTCATTATTATTTATTTTATCCCAAATCTTTTATCTGTGATCATTTTCCTTTGTTTGAAATTTGTCTTTTGACGTTTCTTTGGAAGGTGCTTTTGGATGATAAATTTTCTGTTATTCTTTGTCTAAAATGTCATTATTTTGACTCATTTATAAAAGGAGTTTTTGTGTTTTATAAACCTCTAATGTATAGAAGTGTGTCTAAACTCATTGAGGATATTTTCCAAATTTTTTCCTACTTTTTATTGCTGTTGATAAGAAGTCAGTGTTGGTATTTTGACATTTAAGTTATGTGTCATTTTGTTGTGGTAGTTCTGAAGATCTTCCCTCTGTTTTATATTCTCCTTCACCTTTCATAAATGTACTTTATATTTATTTGGTAATAAATTTTGAACATATACTATGCTATAAAGATAATCTAGGCCCTTTGGTTACATCTTGTAAATAAAATCAACAAAATCTGTTTTGAGATTATATTGTAATATAAGATACCCAAAGTAACTAGGATGTGTACCATATGTTTGAAGGTGGTAAATACGATGAGAAAAATAGATCAGGTCAGGAAGAATGAAGATGATTGAAGGTACAGTTTATGATGAAAACTTAGGTGTGCCGAGGAATGATTCATCTTATGTATCTTGAGTGTAATGTCTTATTTCTCCTGAATCTGAGAATTTGATGTCTTTCATTAGGGATGTCAGTAAATCTCACTAATGAATATATTAGACTCCAGTTTAATATATGATAGTCATTTTCATTCTGTCTTTCATATCACTGAATCCTTTCTCTTTATTGTTCATTTTTATACATCTCTTAATAGTCAAAGTGAATTTAACTATGTTTTACGTTATGTGGTTATTCTCACTTTAGCTATCTCTAACATATTATGAATGTGTCAGTTGTGTGTTTACCGTTGTTTGAATTAAACTTTTAAATCATTCATTTTAATTCTTACTTAATTCAAACTTGTTTGTTATACATTCTTATAATTCCAGTATCTGGAGTCTTTCTTCATGTGATTCTTTTATCTCCCTGTTTTCCTCCTATATTCTTTTCATGCACCATCTTTCTCTGTGTGTTTTGTTTTGTTTTACTGTCAATTCCTAACTAATAGAAGTATATTTATGCAAATAATTTTAGGATAGAATTGAAATAGGTTTCCCAAAAGGATTATATAAATTTGTTTGTACCAAGGGCCCAGGGTTATAAACAGAATGAGATCACTTTAAATTTCTGTCTTGAGGATTTTCAAGTTACACAGGTCATATTAGTGAGAACCCCAGAAAAGGGCATTCTTTTTTTTTTTTTATATTTCACTTTACGTCCTGGAATACATGTGCAGAACGTACAGGTTTGTTACATAGGTATACATGTGCCATGGTTGTTTGCTGCACCTATCAACCCGTCATCTAGGTTTTAAGCCCCACATGCAGGTATTTGTCTTAATGCTCTCCCTCCCCTTGCCCTCCACCCCCAACAGGTCCCGGTGTGTAATGTTCCTCTCCCTGTGTCCATGTGCAGAACCTGCAGTTTTGTTACATAGGTATACATGTGCCATGGTGGTTTGCTTCACCCTTCAACTCGTCACCTACATTAGGTATTTCTCCTAATGTTATCCTTCCCCTAGGCCCCCGCCCCCTACAGCCCCTCCCTGATGATCCCCTCCCTGATGATCCCCTCCCTATGACCATGTGTTCTCATTGTTCAACTCCCACTTATGAAAACATGTGGTGTTTGGTTTTCCTGTGTTAGTCTGCTGAGAGGGATGGCTTCCAGCTTCATCCATGTCCCTGCAAAGGACACAAACTCATCCTTTTTTATGGCTGCATAGTATTCCATGGTGTATATGTGCCACATTTTCTTTATCCAGTCTATCATTGATGGACATTTGGGTTGGTTCCAAGTCTTTGCTATTGTAAATAGTGCTGCAATAAACATACGTGTGCCTGTGTCTTTAGAGTAGAATAATTTATAATCCTTTGAGTATATACCCAGTAATAAGATTGCTGGCTCAAATGGTATTTCTAGTTCTAGATCCTTGAGGAATCACCATACTGTCTTCCACAATGGTTGAACTAATTTACACTCCCACCAATAGTGTAAGAGTGTTCTCTTACTACACTTCCAATTTGGCTGGACTTTGAACTTTGTCTCTGGTCCCCTGCTTTTTACAGTCCCAAGAAACATGGCCTCATCCTTATCAAGACCAGAGAATGCTCTCAAGGTAAAACCTTAATTTTCATAAAATTATTGTCTTCTTGCCTGATCATTGTGACACTAAAGCAAGATTTTTTTAATGTTTCATCCAACTTTTAAGAATTATTTTAGTGGTAGGACTGAGCCAGGTTTCTAATCCACACTACTGCAGATAAAAAAATGACAAAAGGTAACTTTCAAAAATAGAGGCCGGGCGTGGTGGCTCACGCCTGTAATCCCAGCACTTTGGGAGGCCAAGGCGGGCAGATCACGAGGTCAGGAAATTGAGACTATCCTGGCTAACACGGTGAAACCCCGCCTCTACTAAAAATACAAAAAAAATTAGCCGGGCGTGGTGTCCGGTGCCTGTAGTCCCAGCTACTCGGGAGGCTGAGGCAGGAGAATGGTGTGAACCCACAAGGTGGAGCTTGCAGTGAGCCGAGATCGCGCCACAGGACTCCAGCCTGGGCGACAGAGAGACACTCCATCTCAAAAAAAAAAAAAAAAAAAAAAAAAGAAATTCATCTTTTTTCATGAAAGATTTATTATACATTCTAAATAAAATGGAGATAGAAAGTTAGCATTTGAACTTTAAAGTTGTTAGCATAAGGAGCAATGAAAACTAAATTTCTCCTGGGAGTTACTCATTTTTCTGGGTTGTAAATGAATGCCATATTATTTTTTGATGTTTAATGTAAAATATTATTGACTGTAATAATCCAATATGATCTAGGATATTCAGTCTTACACAACATAGGGATACAGTATAGGTTGATGTACATCCAAAATTATAACACACTTTGTTCAAACACAATGCATATTACATTTTCCTGTAGCTCAAATCTGTGTTATCTGTATTATTAAGAGATATAAGGAGAGGATTCAAAATAATAGCTGAAGAATTCTCATTAATTTTATGAATCTAGTAGATCAAAATGTTACTCTAACATTAATAATTTCATAATACAGACTGTGAGGCTTACATAAATCTGTTTCAAAAAATGTATAGCACTCTTTAGCTTTCATGTTGTAAGACATTCAGAATATAATCCAAAATAAAGTTGTAATAAATTATTGCATTTTAATGAGTATTTTAACATAAAATGTGAGTTTGGGATTATTATAAATCCAAAGACACATAAACTCAGTTTCTAAAAGATATGATTGAGGGGAAATCATGATTTATTATATCTTCATTTTATCAAAAAAAGACACAGTTATTATTTATAATAAAAATGATTACAATGCACACATACTCTTTTGTGAGTTGCCACAGAATTTTCTATTACCAAAACCTGTCAAGTTCAACACATGTCTAGAATATGTATAAATAAAGGTTGATCTGTGATATTAGATATTATCAAATAAAAAATACTCTTATTGAAAAAAATGTGATTCCTTATGACAACTTCAGGGCATCTTCTATTTGCCCCCTGTCATCAACAGGGGAAATTTTCTTTCCTACATTTCTCACTAATCATTTCTGACAAGTAGTTGGCAAGCTTAACTATAAAGGGTCATCCATAGGGTTCTAGGTCAACCTTACCCTTTGGGAAGAAAGTATACATGATGTCTATGAATAAATGCCCTCCAACAAAGGAAAAGGACAATGCTTTACATAGTGTGTGCATAATCATTTTTCAACATAATTAGCTTATTTGTGACATGATTTTACTGTCATTGCAGGTGTTTGACATGACCCACGCTTTTTCTTTGTGCCAAGAAATACAATGGTTTTGTATTACATTAATACTCTAGATCATCTATAATATGAGTCAGGTTTGGTTAAAAAATATATAAAAATAAAAATCTCAGTTCTATTTAAAATACTAATGAAAATATCCTACCAAAGTAAGACATTAGCAATGCATTATCTGTCACTTGATATTTTGTGTGTTTGCTCATTTCAACAAGGGAAAGAGAATTAGAAAATTGGAAGAAAAATATTTAAGTAATTCTTGTAAAATTAATATACATATTAAATATCATGAAGGGTAGAAACAGAGTTAACATTTAAAATGTTTATAACTAATGTGTAAATTTAATTGAAAGCCAACTGATTGCTCTGAAATTTTATGAGGAATAATCACAATTGTACAGAAAATAACTGACACCGAAAGTATCTACCTTTTCACATTTAAATGCAAGTGACTTTTTGTTCATTCATTCAAAAAATATGGATTATTATACTTTAGCTTAAATGTTTGTCTCCCCTCTAAAAGCCATTTTGAAACTTAATCCTCAATGCAATAGTATTAAGAAGTCAGGCCTTTAGGAGTAATTAGGCCATGACGACTCTGTACTCATAGATGGGATTAGTGCATTACAAAAGGGCTGAAGGGAACTAGCTAATGTAAGGACACAGCATTCAAGTTACCATTTTAGAAGCAGAAACTGGGACCTCACTTGGTGCCAAACCTGCCAGAACCATGGTTTTGAACTTTTCAGCCTCCTGGACTGTGAGAAACAAGTTTCTGTTCTTATCAGTCTCAGCTATTTTGTTACAGAAGCACAAGCGAACTGAGACCTGAGATGGGAGTGTTTATGTGCTAGGTATGGAGCTAATTTCTGAATAAATAAAGATGAATACATTCTATGACCTCATCATCTAGTGCCTGTTACAGTCATGCAGTGGATATTTTTTCTTGCCTTCTTATTACTCATTTTTGCTCTCCTCACTAAATATTGAGGAAAACATGAATGCATCATCAGTTTTTCCACTGATACAACTGTTTAAGAAGTACATATGACATTATATTTTTTCTTTCTGTATTCTGTAGACTTACCTGTAAAGTCTAAGGCTAACATTGACTTTATGCTAATTAGTACTGTGTTCATTTCAGATGTGTAATATGCCTTGTACAAATATAAATAGATAAAACATTAAAGGTGCTACTACTCAAAACACACAGGGAATAAAATATTCTATTTGAAACATCAACATAGAGTTTACACTGAGGGAAATTTTTATTCATTAGTTTAAATGGGGCAAAATACAATAAATATTATTTGGTTAAAATAGAGAAAGTTAAGTGGAAAGATGAAATGATGAAGAGCGCAGAGAAAATTGTTCAGTTTGCATACAAATTGGGAAATTAACACCTAACCTGCCTAGGTAGAATTTCATAGCGTTAACTAAAATAATTACTTAAACTTACAAGATTTATTAGAAAAATATGAATAGAAAAATAAAATGCATTGTTGCATTTTATGTAATTTTACTTGAACTTAGTTTATAACATGTACATAGATTAAGTTGATTTAAATATTTTATGTACAAAAAACTATATTGTTGAAGATTCTAAGAGCTTAAAACTAAAATACAAGATAAACATTTACTTTACAAAAATAGTAAATAAGATGAAGAATTTGAAAGAATTTAAGAATTAATTTCAGTTTCTTTTCCAAAATGTATGTGGTTAGCCTACAATGCTTTTACAATCTGTTATTTTATGAGTATGAATATTGATTTTATTATTACCTAAACATGTATTATTTTTAAAGTATGGCAAAAGAATTAAAGTTCTATAGTTTGACAAAGCTGTAAAGCAGATCAATCCTTTGACAGCTTAATGAATAAAGCATGCATGTAGTTGACACTAATTCATTTAATAAACATTTGTAGAACATATATGTGTAAGAAATTGTGCTAAGGAGATGAATGGCACATTAAAATAAGAAGACAAGTTTCCAGATACTAAGGAGTTTATGTAACTGTAAGGTACATAAAACAATACAAATGAAAAGGCTAAAATAAGTCAGAAAATGAAGGGAAGAAAACAAATATCCATATTAAGTATACATAATATCTCAAATATTCTTTAAGATGTCTTAAATAGATTTTAATATTTAATCCTAATGACAGGATAATCTGATTTATTACAGATGATATAACTGAGGCTAATACAAATCTGTTGACTTTAAATTTTCAAAGTCTTCCTGAATTATTTGACTGTATAATATTTTGGTAAACATAAATAAGTGGATACTAATGCATTGAAACAGAAACAGAATACTGTTCAAGAAATAGAAAAAAATGAAACAATAGAAAAGATTGAATTTGTAGTATGACTACAATTTAAGATTTAATAAAGACAAAAATAGAAACCAATATGTAGTTAGGAGGATAGAAAAAAGTACAGTGGACCCTCCATATCCATAGGTTCTGCATGTGTGGATTCAACCACCCATGGATCAAAAATATTTGGAAAAACATTTATGAAAAAGTGAACACATATGGAATTCTGCCTTGTCATTATCCCCTAAAGAACACACTATAACTACCTACATAACATTTACATTGTACTTGGTATCATAAGAAATCTAGAGATGATTTAAAGTATGTGACAGTGTGGATGTAGGTGTATAAAATACTATTATACATCATTTTATGGAAGGGTCTTGAGCATCTGTAGATTTTTGTGTCTGAGGGTTCCTAGAACCAGTACCCCACAAATACAGGGGAACAACTGTAATGAGTTCCTAGTAAACTAGGCTGAAGTATTATAACTGTACACAAAATAATTTAAGGCAGAATGATTAAATAATATATAGCAGTATGTATAAGAAGTGAAGATAATTGAAAATTAAATTCATAGGAAAGACATGACAAATATAATGAAATCAATGGAAAAGTTAAAACTTTAGCAAGATGTACAAGCAAGGATTGGGTAGATTTCATCTGAAAGATGTAATTTCTAATGACAAAGTACTTTAATAGTCTAGCCTAATATTTTATTGTACCTTAAAACTTCCCTCTGGCTCATTCTGGTCTTATCACACCAGCTTTCTTATGGCTTCTTTTATCTGCCAAGAATTATGCTCTGGTCTAATTGACCTCCCCAAATTTGTATATTAAAATTCTCACCACCAAGGTGATAATATTAAAAAATGGGCAATTTGGTAGGTGACTGGATCATGGGAGTGGAGCCCTTATGAAAGGTGCCAGAGAGACCCCTCCCTCTTCCACCATGTGAGGTTAGACTGAGAAATACATCTCTGTGGTTTATAAGCTTCTCAGTCTATGGCATTTTGTTATAGCAGCCCATGCTAATGAATACAGATGACCGTGTGTCTGCAGACCTTCCTAGGAAATTATTGAGTCCTTCATTGAATACTAAACTGTGAATACATGAGAGAAAATAACAGAAGCCTGGGGTAAAATGCCAACACAAAGGGTTTGAAGAACAATTCTCAAAGCTCAAGAAAGCTCTGCAAATATTATTGTTGCCACAAACCAAAGTAGAAGACAGGGTAATATATGAGCTATTAGGTAGAATCTTTGGAAGAATCCTGCTTTTGTGATGGAACTCACTCATTCCTAAACCTAAAGCAACTCTACATCTTCTCTAAGAAAATTTTATAGCAATCTCTAAAAGCATCAAACTGATTCCAAATAATTTAACTGTGTTTGAGAACAAAATACAAATATACAAAAGGAATTCAACAAAATCCATCACATAACAATATAGAATTCACAATATCTGGTTTTGATGAACATAATAATTAGTGTTGAAACATGTTAATTCAGTTGTTAAAAATATGCTTTATTTTTTCAAATAAGATGGGAAAATATGTATATTAT
The DNA here is from genome assembly GCF_000001405.40 of Homo sapiens. Taxonomy (NCBI): domain Eukaryota; kingdom Metazoa; phylum Chordata; class Mammalia; order Primates; family Hominidae; genus Homo; species Homo sapiens. The sequence goes on from NC_000009.12 coordinate 39,908,710, forward strand.
GAGAAAATAAAAATGGAAGAAATAAAAACAAGCAGACTCCTAAAACAGAAAAAATAAGTATATTAGATTAAAAATGTATGAATAAATTTAACAGCACTTTAACCATTGTAGAAAAAATACCAGTGATTTTGATAACATAACAATATAAACTATCCAAAACAGAAAACATAGACACATTTGAAAAAACAACCACACTGTGTTGGACAATATCAAGCAGCATAATACAAGAAGAGATGGAGTCCCAGAAGAACACTGAGTGGATGTCTGTGTGTGAGTATGTGGTAGGGAAGAACAAAACCAAAAATACGAAGAAATGATTGCCAAAATGTTATTAGAATCACAAATAAAGACAAAATGGCAAGGTAAACTATTGTCTAATTTCTGAAAATCAGTGATAAAGAGAAAAATCTTAAAAGGCATCAGAGATGACAAAATAATCCACATCAAAAGAAATACACACACACACACACACACAAATACGGGCAATTTTCTTCAGAAACTATGAAAACTTGGAGACAATGGAGCAATCATAAATAATTAAATAATAAAAAACAGCTTTATCTACATTTTTATAACAAGTAGAAAATTTTAAGCACTAAAGTAAAATAGGGCTCGTTTATTTTTAGAAAATTAAAAATAGGTTTGGAACTAGGGTAAAGTAAATGACACAACTAGGTCCCAAAACCTAAAGAGCTACTCACTTTCAGAGTTATATATTTGAGATTGAGAGTGCAAGACTTGTGCCTTGTGTGACCCGAGAGAGTTCCTCATTAAGTTTTTCACCAGAGGTAATTTGCTCATCTCAACGTTGTCTCAGCACTGAGCAAAATCTAAAGAATTTCATTGTCAGCCACCCTCCATTGTCATTTATAAGAAAGAGTCCTAAGGCAGAAGTAAAATTTTATGAGAAGTATATGTGTGTCTGCAGAAAAAAACTGGCAATGTATTATACTGCATATCAAGTGATATACTGTTATTTGAAAGTAGGCTGTGATGAGTTAAGTATTTATATTTTAAAACTTAAAGTAGAAGTATTTATATTTTAAACCTTAAAACAGAAGTATTTATATTTTAAACCTTAAAGCAGAACCTAAAAAAAAGTACATTAGTAAACCAATAGTAGAAATAACATAAAATAATGAAGTACATATTTAACTAATCTACAAAATGTAAAAAAAGGATAAAAAATTGAACAAGGAGCATATAAGATAAATAGAAAACATAGCAAGAAGGTATATTTAAACCTAAGCTTATTCATAATCACATTACATTACATGTAAATCATTCATACACATCAATGAAAAATCAGAAATCTAATTCTGTCTACTAAAATTCTACTGTAAATATAAATACATAGATATCTGTGTGTGTAGTACAAACAAAAATTTATAGAAAACTAGAGTTACTATATTAATGTCAAACTAAATATATTTCAGAACGAAATATATGACCAGTGATAGAAAATATACTCACTGATTATAAAGGGGTCAATTTATTAAGATAACTAAACAATATTAACACAAAGAAACTATACAAGTTAAGGTGATGAATATCAGAATCCTGATTTGATAATTGTATGTCATATGCTTGTATGCATATGTATCCCATACATATGTGCAACTATTATGTATCCATAATAATTAAAAATTTTTTAGAAATAAAGAATTAGATAAATGTAATAGTGCCATGTGTTTATGTTAGAAAAGAAAAAAGAATCTAATCAGTTCCTAAAGCAAATTAAACCCAAACAAAACAGAATGCTGTTGTCTGAATGTTTGTGTCTCCTCGAATTTCCTATGTAGAAATCCTAACTCCCAAACTTATGTTATTAGGAGATGGGGTCTTTTGGGAGGGGCTTAGGTCATGAAAGTAGAGATCTGGGGCTCTTTTATAAGGGTACTAAATTAGTACTACATTAAGGATAGTAAATGAGTAGTTTTCTTACATAAGAGACCCCAGAGAGCTACCTTGCTCTTTCCATTATGTGAAGATGCAGAGAGAAGGAACCATCTATGAACCAGGAAATGGGCCCTCATCAGACATCAAATCTTTGAGAGCCTTGATTTCAGACCTCTCAGCCTCCAGATCTATGAGAAGTAAATTTATAAGTTATAAGTTTATATTATTATAAATTATAAAATTATGTTGTTTATAAGCCACAACAAAAAGGTATTTTTCTATTGCAGTCAAAATGTACTAAGGTACAAAGAAATAATAAAATACATATAAGAACAAAAATCAATAAAAATTGAAAGAACACCAAAATGGAATATCAATAAAATAAAAAGCTCATTTATTAAAAAATGAAAAAATTCTAGCTATACTCAACAAAAAAGAGAAAAAATACTAAATACTAAAGCCAGTAATGAAAGACTGTCACTAATTATACTACAGGTTATAAAATGATAGTAAGCACACAATGTTTAAACTTTATGCAAATACATTTTAAAAGTTTGGTAAACGGACACATTACTTGAGAGAAAAGAGGTTACAAAATTCACTTAAAAATAAAGAGACACCATGAATAATCCTGCATCTATTAAATACATTAAATCTATAATTTGAAACTCACATACAAAATAATTCCAGGTCAGGAAGGTTTCACTCTTGTATTCTCACAATCTTTAAAGAATAAATAGTAACAATTCTATGCAAAGTCTTTCAGAAATAAAAGAGGAAGCAACCCTAACAGTACATTATATGAGGTACAGATTACCCTTAAAGGAAAAAAATAGGTAGAGATTAACAGAAAACTACAGATCTACATTTTGATTTAAAAAATTTGTATAGGATTATTTTATTAAAAGTAGAAAAGCATTTGATGACATTTCACACATATTCATAATAAAGACTTACAGAAAAGTAGGCAAGAGAAACAAATTATTTCAAAAGTAATAAACATATATAAAAATAGTTAATATAGTGAAATACCAAATGGTTCCTCCTACTATAAGAAAGAATGCAAAAATATCCACTATGAACCATTCTGTTTGATACTTAGAAAACTGCAATACAGTGCTGAGAGACATTAAGGCAGACCTAAATAAATGGACAGATAAACCAAGTTCAATAATTTGAATGCTTTATAGTGTTAAGAAGGTAGTTCTACTAAATTGATTTCTAGATTAATTGCAATATCAGTCCAAATCTCAGCAGGCTTTTTATATAAATAACAAATATTTTTTCAAAATTACTATGTAATGTTATAAAATATTATAAATTAATATTGAAAATATTTTACATGAAAGTTCAAATTTCTGGACCCTTTTAAGGTAAGAGGATGGCAGTGTTTCTATGGTATAAACACTAAGTATATAAAAACTGAAGACTTCTATTAATATCAGACAAAATGGGCCACAAATCAAGAAATATTTTTAGCAGGATAAAGATCAATATAATTGGTCCAATTCATCAAGAGAACCTGATAATGCAAAATGTTTTTTCACACATTAACAAACAATTATGCATTTAAAATATTCAAGACAAAAACTTACAGAATTGAGAAGAAAAATATACAAATCCACAATATATTTAAAGATTTGAAAACTATTTTCTGATATTATTAAACAAGTAAATAAAAAATTTTAAAGAAAATATCTACAAATTCAATGACATTATAACCTAACAAGTTCTAGGATGCATGGAATATTATATTCATCACCAGCAAAAACTTATTTTATTTTCCAAGTGCACTGACATTCATCACATGTTAGGTAACAAATAATAAAGTTTCAACAAATTTAACAGGATTAGATCATGGAGAGTATGTTCTCTGACCCAATAGAATTAAATTTAAAATAAAAAACAAAACCAAAACTACAATGAAATCCCCAAATATTTAGATATAATAAACTTCTAATGATGCCTTGTAGCAAATAGTAAATCAAAAGATAAATTAGAAAGTATTTTGGTCTGGATAAAAATAAAAACACTACAACTTCAGGATTCCTTTGGAGAAATACGAAGTTTTTAATGTTTGTATTAGAAAAAGGAGAAATGTCTAAAATTAATGACACAAATGTCTACCTGAAAAAGTGAAAAGAAAACCAAATTAAACAAGAAGTAGAAAGTAAAATATAGAGAAAAACTAAAATTTTATAAAGACATAACAGAAATACAAAAGGAAAAGATGAAATTTAAAACGGATTCTTTGATAAAAGGAATAAACTGAATTAAATTCTAGATAGTCTGAGAAAGATACAAAGACAGAAATCTGTCAGCAAGCACTTTCAGGAAATAAAGTGGGCAAGGTTGGGAAGATGGTGGGTGTTGTAAAGATACTACAAATATCTAAATGATAATAACTTAAATTATAAAAACTTTATGCCAATAAATTTGATAATGGTTGAATAAATTGTATGGTTAGCAAAATAATCTTTACAATTACTCTAGAATAAATAAAATTTCTTCATATCTTTAGATTTATTAAAGATACTGAATTTTAATTTAATACCTTCTTAGGGGAAACAAATTCCAGACTCAGGTGCCTTCACTGTTAAATTTCATTCTTTTTAAATAGGTAAATGTTACAGTGATTATTACTCAAGTGTATATCCTGAGAATTTTTACAATAATTTGTTACATAGATTAACTTTTTTTTCTTCAAAATACAACTAATTTACTGATTATACTTTTTGGGTCTTCTATTAACATTATTAGCAAAATTTAGAAAATTTATTCATTTATATACAAAATTAATAGATACATTAAATACTCTGTGCCACCCAATGCCCAATTCACTGAGAGCATTTTACTGAATAAACAAAAAATTTTGACCCTTGATTACCTTATTGTTGGAGGTAACAAACCATAGAAGATAGACAATAGTCAATGTAAAAATAAATAAGTGGTTTTGACAATGGACAATAAGCAAAAATACCTGTTCACTTGTTGTATTGGTCCGTTCTCACACTGCTATAAAGAGCTGCTAGATGCTGGTTAATATATAAAGGAAAGAGGCTTAATTGACTCAGAATTCTGCAGGTCTGGGGAAGCCTCAGAAAACTTACAATCATGCCAGAAGGGGAAGCAAACCATGTCCTTCTGCACATTGTGGCAGGAAGGAAAAGTGCAGAGTGAAGGGGGTAAAAGCTTTTTATAAAACCACCAAATCTCATGAGAACTCACTCACTATCACGAGAACAACATGGGAGAACCACCCCATGATCTAATCACCTCCCGGAGATCCCTCCCCCAACACATGGGGATTATAAATCTGATTATAATTCAAGATGAGATTTTGTGTGGGAATGGAGCCAAATTATATCACTAGAATAGATAATATATATAATACATAAGTAAATTTTATAGTATACTAGCAGATGGTTAATTCTACTAACAAATACAGAAAGGTAAAGGATGAAAGGGATCTCTTGCTTAAGAAAGGGATACACATTTATATGTGTTGATTTTAAGGAATCAACAAGGAATGATTAGCAAGACTTGAAGAGAAAGGAGAAGCCATGTGAGTCTCTGGGGTGGAATGTTACAGGCAAAGATAAAAGCCAGGAAAAAGCAGACACTTCCTATATTCCTGTATTCATCCATTTTTATGCTACTGATAAAGATATACCCCAGCCTGGGAAATTTACAAAAGAAAGAGGTTTAATGGACTTATGTTTCCACATGGCTGGGAAAACCTCACAATCATGGCAGATGGCCAGGAAGAGCAAGTCACATCTTACATGGATGGCGGCAGGCAAAGAGAGAGCTTGTTCAGAAAAACTCCCTCTTCTTTAACCATAAGATCTTGTGGGACTTATTCACTATCATGAGGATGGGATGGCCTGCCACCATGATTCAATTATCTCCCACCTGGTCCCTCCCACAACACATGGGAATTCAAGATGAGATGTGGGTGGGGACAAAGCCATACCATATCACCATCTCTGTGCAAATGCTCTCTCTCTTCTATTTACCTCTGCAATTCTAGCTAAATTTTCCTTTCTAAGCCCCAATCTTCAATTTCTCAATATACAGGGAGAGTTATCCTTTCTTTGGATTATCCTTTCACTGTGTTTTCTGGAAACTGAGAGAAAGCTTGGGATAAGTCAGATTTTATTTTTTCTTTTGTCAGGGATCAGCATCCTCAGCTTCTTGTCAATGGTTAAAAAATCACTGTTGATTATATTTTGTCTGCAGTTAGTTTTTATTTGTGTGTGTGTGTTTTTGTTTTTTGTTTGTTTGTTTTGTAAAGAATTTAGTTTAGTTCCTCTTACTGTATCATGGTGAAGTACAGCTATCTTCAACCTATTTTTTCTGACCAATCTTTGTCTTTATATTGATTTAACATTACTTTTTAAATTTAGTCTTAAAATTCTTACTTTAAATAGTAGTTTTAGACTACTTATATTTAATATTGTTATCTATATTTTGGCCTTAAATCTACTATCATAAAATTTATTTTCCATAAAATTTAATCTGTTCTTTATTACTATTTTCCACTTTTGATGCTTTATCTTGGATTAAGTGTTTAATTTTGAATTTTATTTTATTTCAATTAATAAGATTATTAGTCATATGTTTTTGTTTATTTTGTCCTGTTAGGTGCTCTAAGGTTTATACTATGTACCTTAACTTTCCAATAACATTAAGGTGACTGAATATTTTTGCCCTGATACCTAGAAAAAGACAAGCATGCTTGCTCTGATAAATTCTTTTGAAGCTTATACTACACGTCTTAGCAATGCATTGAGAGAGGTAAGAATACATACAATTTAGAAAGAAAAATGTCTTTCTTCACAGATATTATTATATTCTGTGCAGAAAATAAAAAAGATATTTGCAAAAAAGTTAGTAAAATTGTGTGTTTATCTAGATCACAGGATATAATAATAATATACAGAAATCCATTATATTTTGATAGATTTGCAATGACCATTCATAATCTGAGATTTAAAAAAAAAAACAAGGAAAATAAGGGAGTGCTCAAATGCTAAGGAAGGCATGTTAAAAGAGCTGAGAAACTTGAATAGTTCCTACTAGCAAAAATAGCAAAACTGAATCAATAAAATAAGTAAAGGAACAGATCATGGGCCACTGAAAGAAATAGGAATCCATGGGTCCACGTGAGATAAACCCATGAATTAATGAATGAATAAAAGAAGGAAACACTATTATTTTCCCACAGAGTGCCAACCAATAAAAGGAAAAGGGTTGATATTGTATGTTAAAAAATTATCATTTGAAAATCTTCACATTGTAATTTGATTGAGTGTTGAGGCATCAATGGATGCTAAACCTAGTGGGTAAATGTTGGAGAAGAAATGTATCTCTCCACAAAACACTTAATTTTAGATTAATTACATGTATATATACATGTATACAATAGATAGTCTATATATAAAATATCATTTCATGTCATGTTATATTAATATAAAGAAAATGAGGAGTACCTCTGCAATAGAGAAATCTGGAAGACATTACCTTTCAAATGATCAAAATTAAAATCACCACTGATGGGAAAAATTAATTTCATATATAACCTGAAGAAATATGATAAGAAGAGCATAGCACCATGTTGGTGATTTTATTGCCAATAATGCATGTCTTGACACCTCATTATGAGAAAACACCAGACAAATCGAAATTGGGAGACATTCTAAAAATAGAATCCATTGGAATATTACCTTCAAAAAATGTTTAGGATGCTATGAAGGGTGAAGAAGGACTATGGAATGCTTCTGATTTAAAGAAGTTAAAGAGACATAGAAACCAGGAACAACACATTATCCTGAAGTGGATTGTTTTTTATAAAAAGCATCAGGGCAGTTTGTGAACTAGAATGGGTCCTCTCTTGGTGATTGTTACATGACAGCTGTTTGCATCACCTTAGCAACTTAAAGATAAATTGTTTAAAGATAAATTGGCGTCGTTTCATACAAACATTAAAGAAAATGGTAATGTCCAACAGAGTGCCCACCTAATTACTGTTCCAGGGGTCCTCAGAGGCTGTTTTCCTACTGTCTTCTTGATTTTTAAAATATATTTTAGTTGATTGGTTTTATTCATGCCATAATTGGTGGAAATTAATCCTTGATTCTATAAATTTTTACCTAGTCCGTTTCCAATGTTTTTTGTTTGTTTGTTTCTCTTTCCTTACTTATTTATTTATGCTTTTCTTTTACTTTTTTTGTAAAGTGGAATAAGTTAGGAATGAGTATATTATGACCAACTAAACTGAGTAGTTTTATGTCAAGTTGCAAATTATGTTAAGTATCAAATATTTGATTTTTTTAGATTTCAAAATAGTCACGTTTTCAGAAAAAATCATTAGTAGTTTTCTAAAAATAAAATCCTCTTGATTCAACAAAACATACTTGATGTGGTTTTTCCTCCCAAAACAGGCTCCTCCTTGAGTTATTGGGAATAAGTAATGCTTCTCAATAAAGCTTCGTGTCAACAAATCTGAACATATAACATCTCAGCTAGAGCAAGTTACTAAAAATAGGCTCAATTTGTAGCTTGCAGTCATGCCTTCATAACCACTTTTCAATTAATCCTGCTTAATTCAGAGAATGTATAAATATGTAATTTTGCATGACTTTTAAGGCAGCCATTTTATTTTGAAACGCAACTAACGTTATATGCATAAATTCAATAAATATAAAGCTGTTTTCAAAAATTGAATGTTTTTACTTGTAAGTTATTCTTTCAATAATAATAAAGAGATGATCACTAGTCAGTTTATTTTTCATAGTTGAATTGATTTAGTTGAACTTCATTGGGTGTTCTTATGTTTTAGTCATGAGTCCATGCTCTTTAACAAGCTAAAGGAAACCATATTATATGCTAAAAGATGTCAGTTTGTGAACAATTTAATGAATATATAGAGTTACAACATTTTTCCCGATTGGATGTTGGGGTTTACTATAATTCTTTGTTACTTTATATGTGAATATACTCACTACTCACTATGTTTATGTATGTAGGAAACATGCTAGTGATGAAAATTCAAGCAGTTATTACCCTAGTTTTCTTTCATTAACAAAATACAGAATAGAAATTATCTACTTATTCTTGGAGGTCTTAAAATATCTTTTCAGTTGACTGATAATTCTGCTATCAAGAGCTACAAGTAGGTGCTCTGGCCGTCTATATCTGTATTTCCATATATTCAATTCCTTACTATATATTTCTCATTTGATATTCTATACCCAATTCAAACAAAACCATTTCATGTATACAATGTACTTTTATTTATGCTTTTCTCTATCATTAAGTAGAAAGCCATTTGCACCTTAGTCTAAATCTGAAATGTGCCTCTACCTAACCTTTCTAATACATTTTCACTATTTCTTAGTTATTAGAATAAATTTACATAATTTCTGAAACAACTTTCTCTATGGAGTATTCCCTTTAGTTTCTTTTCCCTTCCAAACAATTTAATGAATTACAAATATGGGGGAGATATTTTTTCAATGGGTAAGACTTGACTTCTACAAATACATGTTTAATTCCTTCTCAAAATTATTTCTACTTCCTCTTATTCAACACTGTGCTAGATTTTAGGGATATATAATAAGACAATATATGAGGTCCTTGCTGTTGTGAAAGGTACATTCTTATCTTTGGCAAATTGTAGAATCTTTAGCTTTGGTATGCAAGGGCATTGGTGTTTGGTACATGCTTGGCTCTTTGCCTTAAGAATTGCCTCTTTCCACCATGCATATTTCACCTGTGTGGGAATTCTTGCAGATCTCTGTATTATTGATAGTCATTTTGCTCTGACATTTTATACAAAGCTGAATCAGCAACAGTATGACTAAACACAACCAAAAAAGAAAGCTAGAAAGATTATATTAGACACTTACGTGTATGGATCATTATGGTGAGGACTGCTAAAAAAAACAAAACAAAACAAAAAAAACCTTCAGCCAAAATAGATTTACAGTTTAATCGAGTAATGAATGATTCATAAATTGGAAAGCCCCCACAATCACAGCAGATTCAGAGAGACTCCAGGGGTGTCTCATGGTCAGAATGAATTTATAGACAATACAAAGTAAAGTGACCCATAGAAATCAGAAGTGAGGTACAGAAACAGCTGGATTGGTTATGGCTTGGCACTTGCCTTATTTGAACACTCAGCTGTATGCGACTAGTTGAAGTATGGCTGCTGGAATTGGCCAAGACTCAGCGATTGTTACAGGCGCATATTCCTAAGTTAGGTTTTAGTCTTGTGTACCTATTGAGTTAGGTTGCAGTTCATTCACAAGGACTGAAATATAGAAGTATGGCGTTTTTCTCAGGCCATATTTAATTTGATTTAACAGGACTTTGGGTATGTCATTGTATTTTACTAATATATTTTACAAACACCCCATGTTATCTTAATCTATTTAAGTTCACACTTTTTAATCAAATTTTACTTTAAATGTATCTAACCTCCTAAATTTCTGCCTTTGTGAACCAATAATACTTTTTCCAAATTCTTATTATAGCATATATCAGACTATATAGCTATAGACACTTTGGCATCATTGTTTTCCCATACAAAACACAATACATTTAATGAATTAATGAATGATGCATCAGCAAAGAAGGTTTTACTGAAAGTAAGAAAAATTATAAGCCAGTTTGGGTTTCCCAAGAATCAGACACCAAGATGGAATTACACGTATAAGAGAGTAACCAGAGAAAACGCCTTTGAAGAATAAAGAGAAGATAGAGCAAGAGGCTGCAAGAGCCTCCAGATCATGATGCAAGCCGGCACCTCAAAAGAAGAGAGAGCATGAAAGATAATTGGAAAGGAGGAGCCTCAGAGAAGAGTGCAGATCTGAGAAATTGTCAGCCACACTGAAAGAGCACCAAAGTGAACTTTGACCTTTAGATGAGTCCATGTGGGACAAGAATGAAAAGCCCTATAATATCTTCCTTGCTCAGCATTGGCAGGGAGCAACCTAAGGAGAGCATGGCACCTGCATGTAAGCCAAAAATAAAATTCAATGTCCGTTAACCAACTAAATGGGCCCTTTATCTTGGCCAAGGGCATTTTAAACTAAACCTGAAACAGTAATGGCCATGATGGAAATGGGTGGTTGAACATGCTTCGTTATTTACTTTCATCCTTTCGGAATTCATGCATAGCTGAACAGTGTTAACATTAAAGTAGAGACTTAAGAATGACAAAACAGACTCTTCGTAGCAATAAGATATCAACATGACAGATAGCAGGCCTTGAAAGAAATCAAAGTATTTCACCACAAAAATACATTTCTTTGACATATTTTGAAATGGCCCTACAAGGCTGTTTCTGTGGGGAAAATCTCCATTTTGTAGAGAATCCCCTTCTCTTTCCAAGTCTTTTTCCTGATTTTTCCTGATTCCAAGTCCTTTTTCCTTTTTATGTCTGATAAAAATCATTTACAATCTATTCTCAGTGAAGCCTGCTACCTGCAAGCTTCATCTGCATAAGAACCTTGGTCTCTAAAACACCTTATCTTAACCCATACACTCCTGTCTATTGATTCCGGTCTTTAGATAAATTATTTTAGCCAGTTGTCAAATGCCAATCAGAAAATCTTCGAATTCACCTTTAACATGGAAGCCTTCACCCACCCCACCCCCACCTGCTTTGAGTTGTCTCACCTTTCCCAATTTTACCAATGTGTATCTTAGGTGTACTGATTGATGTCTTATGTCTCCCTCACATGTATAAATCCAAGCTGTAGCCCAACAACCTTGGCACATGTTCTTAGGATCTCCTGGGCTGTGTGACAGGCCGAGGTCACTCATATTTGCCTCAGAATAAATCTCTTCAAATATTTCACAGAGTTTGACTCTTTTCTTCAACATGCATTACCACTGTAGTAGCTCTGAAGTGGTTGAGTTGGAGGTAACCCACCAACAACCCTCCTCATGGAAATTTCTCTTGAATGAAAATATGGGAGGAGTAAATTCTTCACTGCCAAATACTATTTCAAATTCTTTCAAGCATAAGGTAAATTCATTATTTAACATAAAAGTCAATCAAGAGGTAAAAAGAGGTCACAGTTTGCTTACGTATTTTCTGGCACTTCTTTGCTATTGGCTGTGTCACTTTTACCCTTAACATTTCTGCAAAAATGTCTGCAGACATTTAGGGTCATCATATTCAGATACAACCTTACCCAGAAGACCAAGAAAGAGACACCAAGAGAAACATTTATCTTAAAAACTCTTAAGGTAATTTGCCCTGATTTGCCTTTGTACTGAATTGGGCCATATGCGTATTTTTGTTCTTATTTTTGGCAAAGAATCAGGCTATACTTAGAGTAATCACATCATACCTGAATCTGAAGACGAGACAGTAAACTTAGAGAAGTACTGAAGCCTTGGAAGCCTTGGATATATTGAATATGTTCTATTTTAGAAAGAAAAGGTGAGATAATGTATGCTGGCAGTCAACCAACAGCATATGCTCCTAATGAACAACTGGAGAGTCATTTAAGTTCAATGTTGGGGATTTTATTAGAAACTGTAAGATGAACACACAATTCATTTTCTCTTTCCTTGTAAATTTGGACAATATTTGCTATATTCGCCTATATTTTGGCATAGAAATTTAGGTTCTAAGTATATAGTAGTGATGTAGCCTTCTTACAGGGTCACATAGACCCAGAATTAATAATTTTTAACACTCTTTTTATTCTCTCTGGTTGGCTAACATTAAAACAATCCACAGAAAACCCCCAAGAGCTATGTATTGAGGATGGCAAAACCACAGATGGGAAAATAATAAATCTTTGAATGACCCTGCAGGAAATCACAGATAGCATTCCTATTATTTAAGCAAGCAATAACTTTTATTGTTTTAAGAGTTGGAGGTTTAATTTTTTCAGCATTACTGTTACCACAATTATTACAGGAAATGAAACCAGTAAAAAAAAAATAGAGGGAACAAGGTTTATTGACATCTATGAGGCATTTTCTTTCCCCTAATATTACATACTCTAGATTTTATTTCTGCACAAAAAATATTCTCTATGTCTAGCCTAAAGAACTATGTCTTATTCATATTTATACTCTTCATAGATCAAAAGTGTGCTTAAAATACTGTACATTTAATGAGTTATTTTTGAATGTAAGCAACTTTGAATTCATCTTTGCATTTTTAATCTTATGTTTCTATTAAATGTATTATTAAATTCTACTAACACTTTCCTCAAAATAATTCTCAATATTTTGGTTTTTAATTTTTTACTGCCTTTGCATTCTCCTGGCAGAGACCCATTTCACCTCTCCTATAGATTATTTCATAAAGATTTTATCGTCTGTATCATATATATTTACAATATTAAAAGTTATCTGTAGCACGCTCTCATTGTTGCTTATAGATTAGGTTTGCTTCTCTATGTACTACTCTGGTAGGCAGTGGTTAAATATACTGCTTTAAGCCTTTTCACAGTACCTTCTATAATATCATCATGCACAATTTTAGGCACACAGCAGAAAATCAATGAAACATATTTAATTGACTAAAAATTGAAAAACATTGGTATATATGTAGGACAGATACTGATATTTTTATAAGCCCAACTCTGAAATGGTGATGCATAAAAAGTTGATAATTCCTTTTAGCAGAAACTATTAATAGTCATTTTTCAACATAATGCAAAATATATTTGAGATTGATAAATATTTTAGAACTCAAGTGCAAGAAAGCCATTAAGGGAATCCCACAATTTTTGTTGTTTCTAAAACCTAATATAATTTAAGATTATGAACAGCCTTCTTTCTCAGAAGAAAAACATATCACCAACCCACCACATTAAAAAAATGCATTATTCCAATCAATCTTGTTAATATACCATAGAAATTGAATTTTTTAAAAAAATTCAGAACTTTAAAAATAAATACTAACCATAATAGCTCAATTAAAATTATATCTATATTCTTGGAGGTTTTCAAATGCCATATCTAAAAACAGGATATAGTAAGGTATATCCAGGGATAAACTAGCTGTTAAAAAATAATTGATTGAGACCTGTTATTATTGGCTAAGTAAACTTCTCTTACCTTCCAAAACATGTTCCATTATTTCATAAGATCTAGAAATGATATCAAGTTTGAAATTTGTTGAAATGTTTTCCTATTGACCTACTTATAAATGGGTTATTTACATATTCAGCGTAATTACTTGTGCTTAAAACTGTTTTCAAGATAAATTTGAACTATGTCATTGTTCATATAAAAGAAAGATGCTTCTTTTCAATTAATTTGTATTAGTTAATAATTCTACAAATTGTGTTTATTTCAATGGAGATTAAAGAATATAAAAAGAATAATGTTTCTGTTTTAGACTATACTTTATTAGTAAACCATTTGGGGGGTGGGGCAATGAGGATAAACTCCATCAAAGGAACATAAGTTAGAAAAGCTGTAACATAAACTTAGGTTATAAGTCTGAATTACCCTAGACAGTTAGTCTATGGAATATGAGACTGTATGCAGCCTCAGCTGGAAGCACTGCCCTTAAGCAAAGACCATGAAAGAGATGCTGAAATAATTATTCAGGCAGAAATTTAGTATAATATTTCTTTGGGAATGTTCTCCAATAGTTGGAAGTCAAAATAACAAGTAATTCTCACTTCCATTCTTTGTCTTCTCAATATACATCCCTATATCTTGCAAGGCATTTAGCAAATTAAAGTACATTTACCAGCCTCTTTGCACTTTGATGAGTCAATGTAACTAATTTTTGGACGATAACGTGTGAACAGAAGCAATATTTGCAGCATCTAAAAGAAATGTGTGTGACCTTTTACCCCTGTTACCATGCTTTAGAATTCATAGCTGTTTTCAGCTATTTTGTATATAAAATAAGCATATAAAAGCGACAAAATAAATCAACATCGTAGAGCTATCGTGACATCACTGGACTTCTCCTAAAACTTTTACATGAAAAATATGTGAATTATTTCAAGCTGCTCTACTTGTTTTTCATAGACTCTGTCATTAATTAATTTTTTATGTACCACTAAAAAGCATTTTAAAATGCCTCTAAACTATGGCACACTGCTAAATATTTTCTAGATGCCTCAAAAAAGTTTTTATATGCAGTAATTTTGTTTTACATACACATGCACACTTAACTGATTTCAAGTTTTTTCAACTTTCATATGAAATTGAAAGTTAAAAAGGCACATGAAATGTCTTTTTGAAATTCCTAACTCAATTTAATTTTTTTTTACATTTAGGTTTACCATACTGTTTTAACAAAATGCTCCGTATTTATTCTAATATTTTTAAAACTTTAGGAATAAATTAATATTTTGGATTGTTCTACAGTATTGTATCCTGAACTGGAACTTTTATTACTGATTTATTAATTGAAATATGAAATATGATATGCACATGTGAAAGACACAGATCTTGAGCATATAGCATTAAACATTTTTAGAACGTAAAATACTAATGTCATCACAACCTACATGAATATGAATTGAGTATTACTAGAATCCAGGAGTCTCTATAGTGAACCTCCAATCATTACTATAGGCAACCACTGTTCTTACTTTTATCTTTATAAATTACATTTGCTTGACATTGAACTTCATAGAAATTGAACCATACAATAGATATTAATTTCAATCTGGTTCAAAAAAACACAACCAACAGCGTGGGTGTCAGTGTGATATTCTGTGCTGCTTCTCAGCTGAATCAATGGTGCTGACAGCTGCAATAGCAACAGCAGTGTCTTCAGAAGTTTTACTGAGAGTTTGGAGTCCAGAGTTTCTGCCTAATGGCAGCTGCGCTCAAATAGGGCCAATGGTCAGTCTGGAATCATGGGACCCAGAATGCACCACCTTCCCCTACTCATTTTTCACAGTTAAGGATGGAAGTGGCTTCCTTCATTTGCTCATCATCTGGAGTAGCAGGCCCCTTTTGCTCTTTCAGTGTTTCTAACATTGTTGTAACCACGCCCCCAACCCCTGTATTATATTGTCTATGCTTTAAAAACTATATTGTGGACTTGAATAAAATTTATTTTCCCATTCCCGGTAAAAAATAATTGGGTCATTCTTTACTCATGTATCAATTCAAATTTCTAAGACTCTATTTATCTCTTCTCCTCAATAATGTTTCTTTTTTCTTTTGCTTTTTTTTAGACAGGGTCTTGTGCTCTCACCCAGGCTGGAGTGCAGTGGCTGGAACACAGCTCACTACAGCCTTGACCTCTTGAATTCAAGTGATCCTCACACTTCAGCCTCCAGAGTAGCTTTGATGACAGGTGTGTGCCACCAGGCCCAGCTACTTTTCTTTACTTTTTGTAGAGACATGGTCTTGCCATATTACCCAGGCTAGTCTCAGATCCCTGGGCTCAAGTATCCTCCTGCCTCCAACTCCCAAAGTGCTGGGATTATAGGCATAAGCCACCATGCCCAGCTAATGTTTTCTATTTACCATAGCTTTTCACATATATATGTTATTATATATGTAATATACATATATAATATAGTATGGATGTGTATATACTATATTATTAACAATTAGATCTAAAATATAGAAAGAATTTTAATACCTTTATTTTCTGTACCTTCATAGTTAATCTCATATTTTCCAAATCTGTTAATGTGGCACTGGTCAGTTATAGCTCCAAAGAATGAGCATCCACTTAATCTCATAACCAGGACCCAACCTGCAACATTAGTATTACAAATTAATTCCTAATTCCAGTCTCACTCTTTCATCACCAGTTCTATCTTTGCACACTTACTAATCCCAATTATTTTAAAGCAAGTTGCTTAACCTGCTGTGGCAGTTTTCCCCTCTCCTTCAACTTTCTCTCCCTTTTTTTTTCTCCTAATAATACCTGCCAAGTAAGAATCCCTTTCATTACATACATCAAATAGCCACTTCTTCCAACAATTTTATTCAACCTAAGTATTCAACCTAAGGGCTTAGATTCATGGTCTGTCCTTACAATGCCGTTCCATCTTTTTAAAGCTAATTGCAATGCACCTAGTCATTTTTATTGCAGCACTATGTATGATAGCCAAGATACAGAATAAGCCTAAGTGTCTGGCAACAGATGAATGCAAAAAGAAAATGCACTATCTGTATACAATGAAGTACTCTTTAGCCATAAAAAATAAAATCTTGCCATTTATGACAATATGGATGAATCTAGAGGACATCATGGTAAGTGAAATAAGCCAGACACAGACAGACAAGTACAGCATGATCTCACTCATAAGTGGAGTCTAAAAAAAAAAGAAAATACAAACATTTAAAAAAGTTAATAGCATAGAAGCAGAGAGTAGAAAAATGTTACCAGAGACTAAAGACAGGAGGACGAAAAGAAGGATGAGGAAACTTTGATTGGTGGTATAAAATTACAACTAGATAAGAGCAAAAAATTCTGGTGTTGTGTTGCACGTAGAGTAAGTATGGTTAACAGTGAAATATCGTATATTACAAAATAGCTTGAAGAGTTGTCTTCGAATGTTCTCACCACAAAGAAATGATAAATATGTAAGATAATAGATTCACTCTGAATGGATCATTATACAACATGGATAGGTATCCAGGTATGAAATTATACCCCATGAATATGTACAATTATTACATGTCAATTAATAAATAAATAATAAGATCACTAGATTTAATCGAGACTCTTATTGACTTGCTCTCATTTTAGAGTTTTAAAACTAGTCTGCCCTATTGCAAACTACCTATTTTTAAAACTACTCTTCTCCTGCACAAAAATTTCTCAAAGTCTCCTTTCTCCTGAAAGAAAAATGACCTATTTAATTTACAAATATTTCAAAAATTAGTACACAACATTTTATATATGAAAAGAATGCTGTAGACTGACTTGCAAATAACATTCTAAGATTCCCATTACCTTTAAGAGGAGTCAGCTGTCATTTTGGAAAAATTAAGATTTCAACAATTTTACACATATTTTGAAAATAATTTTGATAATGAAAAATGTTCAATCTTAAATCGTGTAAATAAGTAAATAGAGAGGTAAAATAAAGAGCTTGATGTTTATGTGATATTGAGAAAAAATCTTTTTTAAAAGTAAAATACAGATTAAAATACAACTTTGTGCTTTAACTGAAGGGTGTCCCTACTCCCTGATGTGTTTGAGACTGTCACAAACCTGAACCCATTTGGACAATACATCAAATAATCATTTTGCATCATTTCACTATTGGGGAAATGATAACTTCTTACATTAAATGAAAAAAAACTGAAAAAGTAGTATTACTTTGTCTTTTAAGTGGCAAGATAGGGTTGATATGATGCCGAAGTACAAACAGTAGGGACTAAGTGAGGATGGAGGATATATGAATAAATGTATCAAAAGTCAAGAGAAATGATAAAACAGACAATTCTGGGGAACAGTAGTAGAAGCTATGCATGGAATATGGTTAGACAGACAGTGATATTTACTTTTGAGTTTTGCTTATATATTTCTAACATTTCTTGATAGGACTGGCATTCTAACAGTTATTCTTATTGTTATAAATTCTTTTAAAAATACTTTTTCTCCAAACATCTCAGTTCAAATTATAGAGTTAAAGGAAACTATAGTAATAAAATAAAATATTAATTATTTCAAAAGAAAAAGAGAAAAATTTGTACACTTAATTTAAAATTGTTTTCAGTCTTATTTTTGCAAGCAATTTACCAATAGATTTGTAATGCACAGTAATGTTGAATGAGTATTGAAGCTATTGAAATACAGAAGTAAGTCAGTTTTTCATTATGCTGTGAGTGATGTCCTGAAACACATTAACTTGATATTTTATCTATTGTTTAATATCATTCCCCATGAATTACATATAATGGTAATAGATTAATATCTTTGGGAGTACTGTAAATAATTATATAATTCAGCCAGGAATTACCTTGTTCATTTGCTAACATTGTTATATTCTTTCAAAAGCAAATAGCAAAAATAATTTTCAACTGACATACATATGGAATACTTACTCTTCAACTATCTCAAAATGCCCAGATTTTCTCCATAACTTTCCTATTGATTTAATTATAGGCATTAGAAATGAGTATTCTAGTACAAGAATAAATAGTGTTGTCTCTCCTTCATCCCCCAGTACTCCTAAATATTTACTAAAAATCTCAATGCTAATCAATAGTGGAAGTATTTGGTGCCTAATGATGGCATTCCATTCCTTCCTTGAAGTCCAACACACAGAGTAATAGAAATCTCATGAATGTGATTGTGTGAGGTTGCTCATAATACTTGGATCTATAGAGAGAATCACTTAACAGACATTAGCTGAATCAGAAACTACTTCTCATTTCATTGAGTTCTATGTAGTCCCCAACCTTTGTGGCACCAGGGACTGGTTTTGTGGAAGACAATATTTCCACGGACAGGGGAGCAGAGGATGGTTTCAGGATTGTAATGGTTAATAATAGGTGTCAACTTAATTGGATTGAAGGATGCCTAGATAATTGGTAAAGAATAGTTTCTGGGTGTGTCAGTGAGGGTGTTGCTGGAGGAGATTAACATTTGAGTCGGACTGGGAGAGGAAGACCGATCTTCAATGTGGGTGGACACCATCCAATTGACTGTCAGCTTGGCTAGAACAAAGCTGGTGGAAGAAGGTGGGATAAGCTGACTTAATGAGTCTTCTGGCTTTCATCATTGCGCTGTGCTGGATGCTTCCTGCCCTTGGACATCAGATTCCAGGTTCTTTAGGCTTTGAACACTTGAACTTACAGCAGTGGTTTTCCAGGGGCTTTCAGGCCCTTGGCCACAGACTAAATGTTGCACTGCCAGCTTTCCTACTTTTGAGGCTTTTGTAGCTGAACTAAGCCTTTGTTGGCTTCCTTGCCCCTCAGCTTGCAGACAGCCTATCATGGGACTTCACCTTGTGATCATATAGTCAATTCTCATTAATAAACTCCTTTTCATATATACATATATCTTATAAGTTCTGTCCCTCTGGAGAACCCTGACTAATACAGGCATGAAACTGTTCCACCTCAGATCATCGGGCATTAGATTCTCATGAGGTATGCACAACCTAGATCCCTTGCATGCTCAGTTCATAATAGGGTTCACATTCCTATAAGAATCTAATGCTGTAGCTGATTCGACAGGAGGCAGAGCTCAGGTGGTAATGCTCACTCACCTGCCGCTCACCTCCTGCTGTATGATCTGATTCCTAACAAGCCATAGCTCATAACCAAGGGTTGAGGACCACTGTGTTAAAAGATAAACTAAGACACAATAAAATTTTAAATATGTTATTTACACAATGATTTATGACTCAGGCAGCTCCAAACCATAAAAGTGGCTTAAGAGCACCACTGAGGGATCACAGGGGGAGGCTTTTAGAGGACAGGCACAGAAGAAAACTAAAGATAATATTTGACTATTTATAGTTGTACAGTTATTTGTACCTTATTTGGTACCAAAGTTGTACGTTATTAGGTCTATCCCACTGGAAAGTCTTCAGTTGTATGATTATGTGTGTTGGCTACTTCTGATTGGTTGAACTTAAGTTCTGTTTTTCTTTAATATAGAAATTGATAATAGCTCAAGTTTCCCTTATATCTGTAGATCAAACAAGGTTTAGATCACTTATGATGCCTAACTGGTTTTGTCTGCTCAGAAATTCTTCAGGCCTGGACTCCATTTTAATTTACTTTAATGATTGTTACTTTAAATTTGGATTAAACAGTGGATTCATATGTACTGAGTGAAAAAAAAATGGAAATAGATGTTATAAAATTTATTTGAAATCATTCAGCCAGGATGTTTTAAACAGCATAAATTAGCAGAATTACCAAAAACACATTTTGAAAAAACCTTGAAGCAATTTTAATGTATTGCAAAATGTGAAGGAGACTAGTAGGACAAAAACTTAAAGGTTGAGTTTGAGATACGATGCAGGGTTTTTTGCTCCTTAGCCCAGCTAGGCCTAAGTTCTGAAGAAGTAGGCACATGGACGCTCAAAGAGTAAGTGTAGTAGAATTTATTTAGTGAAAGGAAAGCTCTCAGCAAAGAGAGGGGTCCTGACATCAAGTTCTTGGTTGCCCCCTTAACAGTTGAATACAAGGGCATTTTTTTTCTTGAGACAGAGCCTCACTCTGTTGCCAAGGCTGGAGTGCAATGGCGTGATCTTGGCTCACTATACCCTCTGCCTTCCAGGTTCAAGTGATTCTCCTGCCTCAGCCTCCTGAGTAGCTGGGATTATTGGCACATGTCACCAGGCCCGGATAATTTTTGTAGTTTTAGTAGAGATGGGATTTACCATGTTGGTCAGGCTGGTCTCCAACTCCTGCTCTAGTGATCTGCCCGCCTCTGCCTCCCGAAGTGTTCGGATTACAGGTGTGAGCTACTGCACCCGGCAACAAGGACATTTTTATACAAGCTGATAGGGCTGTGAATTCCTGGTTGTATGAGACATGAATTCCTGGTTGCTCCACTCCACCTTTCCAGTGAGTTATGTGGGCCCTTAGTCTGTGCCTCTCCATATTGATTTATTTCCTTTAATGCACATATGTTAAGGAACGAAATTTTCCACTATGGGCATGTTTAGGCAAGCTCCCTTAGCAAGTACGCTTATCCGCACAAAATATTTGGTATAAACACCTGGGGGGTGGGTAAGAGGTTCTCCAGGGGACCCTTTCCTGACTGTCTCCCTAAAGCAAGTTGGCTGACTCCTTTCATTCCTCCCTTCAGGAGTGGAGACCCCAAATTCTGTTGGGGAAAGTGTACAACGACTGCTCTTAACTGCTTCCTGCTGACAAGGGGTGCTGTTTTGGGAAAGTGGCAGTTAAGGCTCCTCCTGAGGTCAGTTTAAGGGTCCCCAAAGAGAACGGTGTGTTCATGAGTGGTTCTGTTTGCATCACCATTTGATGTTGAACGGCCTTTAAGTGAGAAGAAACAATTAGGGTTATTAGAAGACATATTCAAAATGAAACAAAGGGATAAGGACAGCTCAAAACAAAACAAAACAAAACAAAATCTCAAGGCTGCCAATACAGCCAGATAACTCGTGGCTATAGTTATGCCTGCTAAGGTTTGTATTCATGGGGCTTGGCTTTGATTAGCTCCCTTGGTCTTATTTTCCCAAACAAAGAAATCTCTGGGTTATGGGCACCTATTTACTCCGATCACCTGGAAGGATTTGCAGGATAATTGTTCAGAATTAAAATATTGATCCAGATTTTTTATATTACTCGTCCCTTTGGTTCTTTTGAGCTGCAGCCGTACATTGCTGGTTGGTCCACAGGAACAAGCAGGGTAGTCTAAAATGTAGGCAAAAACTTAAAAACAACTAATGGGATTATAATGTAATGACAAATGTAGAATACGTTTTGAAACATAATTTCTCTCTCTCCAGTCCTCATTTTTGTCAAAAACAAATCATGATAGGACTCAGTTGTTTGAAAAAATAAACTTTAGCCTTATACTTGTCTTATTTGCATAAAGTGCAAAAAGAATAATTATTTTTCCCATAGGCTTTTAAATTGGCTTTGATGGAACTCTGTTCCATAAGGCATCTCAGTTAAGACCTTTTAAGGCCAAGCCCAGCCAAGGGTTTCCACCCTCAAATATCTACAAGTTTGGTAAATCATTCTCTTCTTGATGTCCCAAGAACAAGCTTTTTAACAGGCTCCTAAGCCTGTTAAAAAGTGACATGCTTTACTCCCCATGGGTTAGGAACCTTGTACAAGGACTGTGTTGACAAGGTATGTAGCCAGTTTTCCCAAGGGACTTTTATTGGCAAGTCCAGCTTAATGACTTAAAGGAACATATACCCTTCCAGTAAAAGCCTTGGTAAAACCCCCAGTTTCTTCAATTGTGTCCTGTTGCAAAAGAAAATGTATTCTTATTGCACTGATGAAAATAACTGAATTGCCATAAATTAAATATTCTCACAAATAGTTTCCAAATTCTGGCAAAGCCAGGCAGAGAGAAACAAACATCCTTCAAATTTTGTTCACAGGCGTATAGTTTACTCAATTATTAAAGGTTTTAAATAGGTCAAAATAAGTATCCTTGACTCAGAAAAATAAAGCAAGGATCACCAAAGTTTTAAGCAAAAAGGTTAAAAATAATACTTGTTTTCTATTAGTTCAATCCATTCTGTTCTCTTGTTCTGCTTGATATTCATGAACATTTCAGTTCTTCATGAGTACTGTATTTTTTTCAATGTCATAATCTCCAGAGTTAATGGAATCTTGCATTTGAGAACACTTGTCAAAATCCTATAGCTGATTATAAATCATCTTTTGAGTAGGATCAAAACAAGACATTTGTCTGTGAATGATGAAATGTCCAGGGTAGTTACTGTCAAGAATACAATTGACAAAGAAATTTAGTTATTTCTAGGGTTTACAATAACTAAACATAATAACCTTAATTATGATTGATAGCATATACTCAGACATTAGAATTTTAGAAATCTCATATAATTTTGAAACATATTAATATTATTCACTAAAATATAACCTAAAGCAGATTAAATACAACTTTGGAAATACCATATAACTAAACATTTCAAAAAACCCAGTTTTCTTCTGTTTTGGATGTTCCAGGGACCAGGAAAGACAATTTTAAAACTGAAGTTTGATTTTGGGAAGACTGTTAATTACGTTAGAGGTTCAAAGCACTTGATACTATAAAATAGAATTCCAAGTTACCACATGTCATTTATTTTAGCCAAAATGATGACTCAAACATTTTAAAACAACGCAAAAGCATATTCACAGGAAGAGGGAAAATTTAGCTTTCCAAACAATCTGTCGTTAATTTTACAGGGAAATGCTGTTCAAGTGAAAGCCTAATTTCATCCTTGCATTAGTCTACTGTTGATGTCAACCCTAATTTTTTTAATGAAAACTTATAGATAATTATATCTAATCTTATCTAGTTTGACCATGAGGTGAGATTTTTTTAAACTTTTATAACCCTTTACAAATTGTTGTTAAAGAGCAGGTCAGCGCCTTTAGAAAACCTTGTTGTGCTTTTATTTCAATGCTCAATTTACAAAAACAAAATACTTTTTTGAAATTAGCCAATATGTTCACACAATTTCTTTTGCAAGATTAAGTTTTACAAACTTTTCACCATTTGTTTAAACCTTCAGCTTTATCTTATCTAATTCAAAACAATCCTTTAACCCAAGGCAAAAATTTACATTTTCATGCATTCTTATAATCTTTTACTAAAAACATATTTTACTTTCCTTACTTACCTTATATGTAAATCTATTTTCATTGTCTCGATTACAGATTATTATGGTAACTCCTAGCAATTTTTAACTTTAATGTAAAACCTGGCAAGTTGCTTTAATTATGTAGTAGGCATAAATAAAGTCTGATTCCTTCCTGCATAATTAAGGGTGTGGTTAATTCCATATGTCCCTGGACTTATTAATTGTGAAGCAGGCAAATTGAATAGTGTATTAGTCAATTTTCATGCTGCAGATAAAGACAATCTTGAGACTGGGCAATTTACAAAAGAAAGAGGTTTAATTGGACTTACAGTTCCACGTGGCTGAGGAGGCCTCACAATCATAGCAGAAGGCAAGGGGGAGCAAGTGACATCTTATGTGGATGGTGGCAAACCAAAAAAGAGAGCTTGTGCAGAGAAACTCTCATTTTTAAAACCATCAGATCCATGAAACCCATTACTATCATGCGAACAGCATAAAAAGACCCACCCTCATGATTCAATCATCTCCCACTGGGTCCCTGCCACAACACATGGAAATTACGGGAGCTACAAGATGAGATTTGGGTGGAGACACAGAGCCAAACTTCATCAAATAGTTCTTAAAAGCCAAAGAAGCAGTTAATAACTTTGAAGCATTTAGCTAACCTAGCATTTGACCTACATGATTCAGCCCACATATTTACATTTTAAAGACATTTGTATTTTACCAATTATTTTTAAAACAGCCTTTATTTCTTAAAGATTATAGTCATGTGAACTGAAAAGGTATTACAGCTTTTATTTTTCTTCAAAAAATATTTGATCTAAGTGCTTATTTTCCTAGAGCTTTTTTATATAAACATCACGCCCATAAGAAATATAAAATTACACAGATGAACAAAAGCAAATTCAGTACTTGTAAGATTTTTCATTTGCCAATCTTCTGAATAGATTATTGGCCTCTGGGTGAAGCCCTTCAAGAGCAGGGTCTAGGACAGCATACAGTTTCTAGGGCCTAATAAACAGGCATAGCTGGAAGACAGAGACAGATTTTGAGAAGGATCTATCCACTTTTAATTCCTGGAGTTTCGTGAGGAAAACAGAGGGTGTTTTTTCCCCAAAATGGGGTCTGCGGCACCTTCTTTGTTTTTTCCCAGGAGCCCCGGGCTATCAGAAGTTATCTTAGAGCCTCTCATGTATGCACTGAATGACAAGACAAAATGGGAAAAAAAAAATCATTCAACAGAGAAAGAACCTTTTTCCAGAAAAACAAGATCCATGCAGAGAAAAATTTAAAGGCCTTTAAATATACCTATAACTTGGATATCCACTTTGAATTCAGCTGTGCTCTAAGAAAATCGTTTCATATCTATTACCCAACTTTAGCCATGCCGAGCAGCCAATATTTCTGGCTTTTGAACTTTATTAAAAATAACCTCACAGGTGAAACCAACAAGCCTCAACTAAGGTTATGACTTAACTGTAAGTGTAAAAGTTATTTTCAAAGAGGTGCTAAGCAGTTTTTACAGAATCTAAGATCTTTAAAGTTGGTTCAGACAAAGGAAGATTTAAGAAAGGAAGCTAAAGTTGTTTATAGAGGGGAAGAGAATCAGCAAATGGTAAAAGTCACACAGATATTGGCCAAAATATACTCATTCCCTAAGCCGGGATTAAACCCAGGCCACCATTGTAAAATGGCAGAGGCCAAAAGAAAGTATTATCAAGTGGTTACAAGGTCAAGCTCCTAAGGACAAAAAACAAGATGAAGAACTGCAGCAAGGTTTGTTACTGACCAGTTTGCCAGGCTGGTTTGATCAGCAAACTTTTGGGGTCCTAGGCCTGCATTCTATCCTAAGGTACCCCTCTTTATGACAGAACTATACAGAAAGACACACAAAGCACACTACATTGGCTACAGCTTAAGACTAGCCTCATAAATCCTTTTTTTCTATTTATCAGAACTTCAGAGAGTATATAAACAGTGATTTAAACAGGGATTTTATCATTTATTCAACTGGTTTGCACAGGGAGAAGGAGGCCAGAAGTCTGACTGGTAAGAACTATTTTTTTTTTTTTTTTTTTTTTTTGAGACAGAGTCTCCCTCTGTCCCCAGGCTGGAGTGCAGTGGTGTGATCTCCGCTCACTGCAAGCTCCATCTCCCAGGTTCACGCCATTCTCCTGCCTCAGCCTCCGGAGTAGCTGGGACTACAGGTGCCCGCTACCACGCCCGGCTAATTTTTTGTTGTTGTTGTCGTTGTTATTTTTAGTAGAGATGGGGTTTCACCGTGTCAGCCAGGATGGTCTCCATCTCCCGACCTCATGATCCGCCTGCCTTGGCCTCCCAAAATGCTGGGATTACAGGCGTGAGCCACTGCACCCGGCCCTGGTAAGAACTTTTACCCTTTTGCTGGTGTACCAGGCTTCTGAGTTGCCCTTTTTCATGCTCAGTTTTGAGCCAAGCAGTTTAAGGTTTGGAGAAATTAACTTTTCCCAGTTTAAGAGATGCATCCAAAGGGAGTGTCCTGTGGTACAGCGACACAATGACCCACCCACAAAGAGAGGACAGAGGAGGAAAAAGGAGAAAGGAGGTGTTTTTCCAGAAGAGTCCTAGTGATTCAGGAGGCAATCAAGAGAAATATGGGCTGCAGATGATTGGTTACTCACCTAAGAAGAGGGGAGCAAGGCATCCCTAGTTTCTTCTTTTTCCTAGTAAATACCTGAGGTACATGAGGGAGAGGAGAAAAGTGTCCTCTTTCTTTCTTCTGTTCTTATATCCCTGAGTCCTGGTGATCTTGGCAGGTTACCACCCATGGGTGCCAGTGCAGCTTTCACCTATGTTAACAGGGGGCTTACAGGGTGCGAGTTATCCACCATTACCCATGCGCTGCTTGTCCCACTGTTGTCGATAACTTTTGAGTTCTCTGGATTTCATACATGCCGTGGATACTAGAATGACCTCTATCCACGAGATGGAAGGGGGCCTAATCGGCAGCAATGAGTCATGCTAACCTAAAGCTTTGGAGCTGGGTCTTCCTTAAACAAGGGAGAGAAAAGGCTGTCTTGGGAATTGGGGTCCTGGCCTAATAAGAAAAAACAAAAACAAAAACCAACAAAAAACCTCTCATAAAAGTTAACTCCTTACAAAGTGGAGAAAAGAAAAAAAAATAAAATAAAACAGCTTAAGTGCAGGGTGGGGAAGATGCCTGGAGGAGAAACCTTTTATTCTTATGCAAATGAGTTCCTCCAATAGGGAGAGAACATTTTAATTGCTGTCTCCTCCTTTCTGGCTCAGCCAGGGGAGGAAAGACACTGTGGGTGCATGGGGAGAGGGAAGAGTGAGCAGGAAAAGCTGGCCACCTAGCCAAGTGGGGCCCTTGGGCTATGTGCCCCAGACGGGAGGGGAGGGGGTTGGGAGTTGCCACTCTCCCATTTGTCTCACATGTGTACCTGTGGCCATTGGAGGTTGGGGTAAGGGACATGTCTCTAAAAACGGAGGGAGAGCACATTGTTCTGAATTGTATAGAATTTATTAAGTTAAAGGAAAGCTCTCAGCAAAGAGAGGAGTCCTGAAAGTAGGTTCCCGGTTGCCCTCTTCACAGGTGAATCAAAGGCATTTTTATATAAGCTGATGGGGCTGAGTTCCCTATTTGTATAAGGCGTGAATTCCTGTAGGCTCCACTGCATCCTTCCAGAGTGCATGCAGACCCTTAGTCTGAGACATTCCATATTGATTTATTTTTCTTACTGCCCACGTGTTAAGAAACAAAATTTTCCACTGCGGGCATGTTTAGGCAAGCCCCCGGAGCAAGTACCCTTATGTGCACAAAACATCTGGTATAAACACTTGTGGAGCAGATAGGAGGTTCTCTGGGGGACCCTTCCCTTAGTGTCTGCCTAAAGCAAGCTGGCTAACTTTTCAGAAAGAGACAGAGAAAATGAAGTAGCTACCAAAGTATTCTGGGTCTACAAGTGATATTATTTTCAACAAGTATTCAAATGCCATTCTAGTCTAAACTAATTCATTATAAATCAGCTAATATTAAGTAAATATTTTACAAATTAAAAACTAGTTACAAAAGGTAGAGACCTCAAAGAAAGGCAGAAATGAGGCAAATGGGGAAAAATTATGGTGACTTAAAGCCTATATATTGTGATCTGGAGAATTAGAATTTAATTTGTCTATACAAAGTAGGTCATGATCCTGATAAGTTTAGCAATTAGAGTATTTATAAAAAGTAAGAGCTAAATAATTTGTTTCAGGGATGCACTTTTATTTCAATTATCTAGACCTGAAATTATATTTTTTTGAGATCGTTCAGGAAGAAGAAATTACATGAGGAGAACTTTCTAATCAGTATGCTTAGTGTAAATATATCTGATGAGTTCATAAGTCTGTTTCATTTATTATTCTTCAGTATAGGTCTGTAGCATGACACAAACAATTCCTGATGACTTCAGCTACCTTTTTAAGGAAGGTAGACTTGCTCCATCCCCTATCTTCTATTTTGCATCTGAAAGAGGATCATACTCCTGTTTAAGTCAACTTTATTAATGTTTTTCAAAATATTTCTTCTCTTGCCAATATAAAATAATGAAATTGTAGTAAAATGGGGATTGTCTTCCTCAAGATGAGTAATTTTTCATGAACAATTTATTTAATTATTTCAATAATTATTCAAAAATGATTTCAAATTATTTCAACAATTTATCTTATGAACATTTATTTCATTATTTATTCACACCATCAAATAATATTTTACATTGAGTCCAAATTTTTTGCATTGCTGTTCATGTCAGGTTTATATTGGAATTAATTCTCTATGACCTCCTTTTTAAGCACTGCTAAATAGATAGTAATCTTTCTTTCTATAACAGTTGAGTTTAAATTGCTTTTCTTAATTTTCTCTGACAGAGAACATTATTTTTTATTGTTGTAAACAAGCTATATTCTACATATTTAATTATTTGGAATTTGATTTGTGTATATTTTTCAGTGGAAGCTAACTTCTTCCTAATGTCTCCATCTACATTTCATATTTATTCATCCATTCACATATTCAACAAAATTTGAGAATCTGTTTTTGGGCTTTTAATACTCATCTTATTCATTTTACTATTTATGTTTTTATTTCTTTATTTATTTAGAAACTGGTTCTCACTTAGTTGCCCACGTTAGAGTGTAGTGATGCCATCATAGCTCATGGCAGCCTCAAACTCCTGGGCTCAAGTTTGTTAATTTTATTTTAAATGTCCACACAGTGTTCTCAGTCAGAAACAGATTTCTTAATAATGTGTGTTGGCTGCTCCTTTTCCCAGTTCTTATCTTTGGACAGTATAAAGAGATCCAGATCATCCTAGTGAGAGGCCAGACTCTCTGAAAGCAAGAAGTTAAGAACAATGGTTTTTTTCCTTGTCTTTGTTTTTATACTTATAATAGGACGGAAACGGCTGTTTTTCTGTCCTTCTAAGAGGATATCTTCTTTATTCCAAACTTTTGGAATGTTGTAAAATCTCTCCTGGAACCAAATAACCCTGTATCTCCAAGTTTTTATGACCTATAGCTGTCTCCAAATTCTGGAACATCATATCTTTTGACATATGAATACAAAAACCTAGTCTTCCTCTTACCCTAGTACTTAACCTAGGAACCTAGTAATCTAAGGATTTTAAAAATTTGACCCTCTTAGGGGAGTAAAAGAAGTTTTCCTATTGTTGCAAATCAGAGAAATTAACTGGACAAAGGGCTACAGATCTAATTCTCTCAGTGTGTGAAGAGTCTCAAGAAGCTAGTGCTTTGAGAGAATCCATGAGAAACCCAGGGACCTTTAATATCTCCTCATTATTATTTGCATAGCACACTACCAGGGGAGATGGAGAATTAAAATAATAATATATTTTAATAACTTTAAGTTCTCTTAAATCATATGGTTTTTTAAGGATAAAAAAAAATCCTGGATATCTATGGCTATACTTAGACATATGTAATATACATATATAACACAATAACTTTTGGGGAACAAGTGGTTTTTGGTTACAGAGTGGTAAAGTCTGAGATTTTGGTGCCCTTGTCACCCAAGTAGTGTACATTGTACCCAATATGTAGTGTTTTATCCCTCACCCACCTCCTACTCTCCCCCTTAGTGGTCTCCAATGTCCATTATACCACTCTGTATGCATACCCATGGCTTAGCTACCACTTAAAAGTGAGAATATATGATATTTGGTTTTCCATTCCTGAGTTACTTCACTTAGAATAATGGCCTCCAGCTCCAGTTGGAGTTGCTGCAAATGACATTATTTCATTCTTTTTAGGGCTGAGTAGTATGTCATGGTGTATGTTTACCACATTTCTTTATCCACTCATTGGTTGAGGAGCACTTAGGTTGGTTCTGTATCTTTGTAATTGTGAATTGTACTGCAATAAACATATACATGCAGGTGTATTTTTGATACAATGACTTTTTTTAATTTGAGTAGTTAACCAGTAGTGGGATTGATGGACTGAATGCTAGATCTACTTTTAGTTATTTCAAAAATCTCCATAATGCTTTACATAAAGGATGTACTAATTTACATTCCCACCAGCAATGTATAAGCATGCCCTTTTCACCACATTCATGCCAAAATCTGTTTCTTTGTTTTTTTTGACTTTTTAATAATGGCTATTATGCTGGGAAAAGATGGTATCTCACTGTGGTTTTAATTTGCATTTCTTTGATGATTAGTGACATTGAGAATTTTTTATATGTTTGTTGGTCATTTGTATATCTTCTTTTGAGAAATGTCTATTCATGTAATTTTTTTTCACTTTCTGTTGGGATTATTTTTTCTTGCTGATTTGTTTTCCTTGTTAATTCTAGATATTAATTATTTGCTAGATGCATACTTTGTAAACATTTTCTTCTATTCTCTGAGTTATCTGTTTACTGTGATGATTATTTCTTTTGCTGTGAAGGTTTTTAGTTTACTTATGTCCTTTTTATTTATTTTTGCTTTTGTTGCATTTACTTTTGGAGTCTTAGTCATAAAGTTTTGGCTTAGGTAAATATCCAGATGTGTTTTTCTTAGTTTTTTTCCAGAATTTTTATGGTTTTGGGTTTTATATTTAAGTCTGATCCATCTTCTAATTTTTGTAGATGGTGAGAAAGAGTGATCCAGTTTCATTCTTCTACATGTGGCTGTCTTGTTTTCCCTGCATCATTTATTGAATAGGGTGTCCTTTCCTATTTATGTTTTTGAATGCTTTGTGGAGGATCAGTTGGTTGTATACATTTGGCTTTATTTCTGGTTTCTCTATTCCTTTCCTTTGGTTTATTTATCTACCTTTATACCAGTACCATGCATGCTGTTTTGATTACTAAAACCTTGTATTATAACTTGAAGTCTCTTAAAACTATGCCTCTGGATTTGTTCTTTTTGCTTAGAGTTGCTTTTTTAATTCAAGCTTATTTCTGGTTTCATAAGAATTTAGAATTGCTTTCTCTAATTCTATGAAAAATGATGTCAGTATTTTGATAGGAAGTGCATTGAATCTGTAGATTGCTTTTAGCAGTAAGGTCATTTTCACAAATATGATTCTTCTTATCCATGAGCATGGGATGTATTTCCATTTGTTTATATCATCTCTAATTTATTTCAGCAGTTTTTGTAGCTCTCCTTATGGAGATCTTTCACTTATTTGGTTAAGTGTATTTCAATTTTTTTTCTGCTGCTATTGTAAAAGAAATTGAGTTCTTGATTTGATTCTCAGCTTGATCATTGTTGGTGCTATGCAGTAGTACTAATTTGTGTACATTCATTTTGTAACCTAAGATTTTATGAATTCATTCATCAAATAGAAGAGTCTTTTGGTGGAATTCTTAGGCTTATCTAAGTATATGCTTAAATCATCAGCAAACAGAGATAATTTGTCTTCCTCTTTTCCAGCTTGGATGCCCTTTATTTCTTCCTCTTGCTTGATTGCTCTGGGTAGGACTTCCAGTACTATGTTAAGTAGAAGTGGTGAAAATGGGCATCCTTAACTTGTTCTAGCCCTCAGTGGGAAGACTTTCAACTTTTCCCCATTCAATATGATGTTGGCCATGGGTTTGTCATATATAGCTTTTATTATTTTGAGATATGTTTATTCTATGTCTAGTTTGTTTAGGGTTTTTATCATAAAGCAATGCTGGATTTTACTGAATGTTTTTATGCATCTATTGAGATGATCATACGTATTTGGTTTTTAATTCTGTTTATAAAATACATCACATTTATTACCTTGCGTATGTTGAGTCATCCTTGCCTCCCTGGGATGAGACTCACTTGATTATAGTGAATTGTCTTTTTGATATGCTTTTGGATTTGATTTGCCAGTATCTGTTAAGAATTTTTGCATATGTCTTTATCAGAGATGTTCATTTGTAGTTTTCTTTTTTTATGATATGCCTTTTTCTGGTTTTGGTATCAGGGTGATACTGGCTTCATAGAATGAGTTAAGGAGGATTCCCTTTTTCTCAGTCTTTTAGAGTAGTTTCAGTAGGCTTGGTACCAGTTCTTCTTTGAATGTCTGATAGAATTTGGCTGTGATCTGTCTGGGTTTTTTAGTCGGCATTTTTTTTTTCTTACTTATACAATCTCACTGCTTGTTATTGGTCTGTAAGGATACCTATTTCTTCCTGGTTTAAGCTGGTAGGGTTGTATGTTTCCTGGAATCTATCTATTTTCTTTACTTTTATTTTTATGTGCATAGAGGTTACATAGTAGTCTCAAAT
The DNA here is from genome assembly GCF_000001405.40 of Homo sapiens. Classification (NCBI taxonomy): domain Eukaryota; kingdom Metazoa; phylum Chordata; class Mammalia; order Primates; family Hominidae; genus Homo; species Homo sapiens. Next base: position 39,941,596 of record NC_000009.12, read on the forward strand.
GATCTTTTATATTTCTGTGATATTGGTTAAAATGTTTCCATTTTCATTTCTAATTGAGCTAATTTAAACTTCTATCTTCTTAATTGTTCTAACTAATGTTCTAACTAATTGTTAGAACAATTGTTAATCGTTCTAATTGTTAGAACAATTGTTAATCGTTCTAATTGTTAGAACAATTGTTAATTGTTCTAACAATCTTAATTCTTCTAACTAATGATCTATTTTATTTCTATTTTCAAATAACCAAATTTTGTTTCATTAAACTTTTGTATTTTTATTTCAATTTCATTTAGTTCTGCTGTAATCTTTCTTTTCTTCTCCTGGCTTTAAGTTTGATTTGTTGTTTCTATAGTTTCTTGAGGTATGACATTATGTTGCGAATTTGTAATCTTTCAGACTTTTTTACGTAGGTGTTCAGTGCTAGAAACTTTCCTTTTAGCATTGCTTTTGCTATGTCCCAGAGGTTTTGATAACTTGTGTCACTATAATCATCCATTTAAAGAATTTTTTAATTTCTTTCTTCATTTCATTGTTAACCCAGTAATCATTAAGAAGCAGATTGTTCAATTTCCAGGTAATTGTATAGTTTTAAGGGTTCCTTTTGGAGCTCATTTCTAGTTTTATTTCACTGTGACCTGAGAAGATACTTTATATAATTTTGACTTTTTAAAATTTATTGAGATTTGTTTTTGTGGCCTATCCTATGGTCTGTCTTGGAGGCTGTTCTATGTGTTGATGAGAAGAATGTGAATTCTGTGGTTTTTGGGTACAATGTTCTGTAAACGTCTGTTAGGTCCATTTCTTCTGGACTGCAACTTAAGTCCAGTGTTTTTTTGTTTTTGTTGTTGTTGACTTCCTGCTTCAGTGATCTGTCTAGTGCTGTCAGTGGAGTGTTAGAGTTCCTCACTATTATTGTGTTGCTGTCTATTCCTTTTCTTAGGTCTAGTAGTAATTGTTTTATAAATGTAGGAGCTCCAGTGTTATGTGCATACTTATGTAGAATTATTATATTTTGTTGAATTAATTATTTAATTATTATGTAATGACTTTCTTTGGTTTTTTTTTTTACTATTGTTGCTTTAAAGTCTACTTTATCTGATATAACTATACCTGCTTGCTTTTGGTTTCCATTTGCATTGAATATCTTTCTCCACCCCCTTACCTTGAGTCTATGAGAATCTTTGTATGTTAGGTTCTGATGCAGCTCAACATTTTGTTTCAAGATTTAGCATTTCTTGTAGGACTGGTCTGATAGGGACAGATTCCCTCAGCATTTGCTTGTCTGAGGAAGACATTATTTCTCTTTCATTTATGAGACTCAGTTTTGCTGGATACAAAATTTTTGACTAATAGTTATTTTGTCTAAGGATATTAAAGATAAGCCTAAAGATACAGTGAACTTCTGGCCTGTAAGATTTCTGCTGAGAAGTCTGCTGTTAGTCTAATAGGTTTTCCTTTATAGGTTACTTGTTGCTTTTGTCTCACTGTTCTTAGAATTCATTTCTTCATGTTGACTTTAGATAGCTTGATTACTATATGGCTTTGTAATGTCAGTTTTGCAGTGAACCTCCCCAGAGCTCATTGAGTTTCTTGTATTTGGACATCTAAATATCTAGCAAGGCTAGCAAAGTTTTCTTCAATTATGCCCTCAAATAAGTATTCAAAAAGTTTTGCTGTTTCTTCTCCCTTAGGAACAGCAATTGCTATATTTGGCCATTTTACATAGTCACCTATTTCTAAGAGACTTTGCTTATTTCTTTGAATTCTTTTTCTGGCATTTCAAAGATTTCATCTTGGTTGGGATCCATTGCTGGGGACTTAGTGTGTTCTTTTTGAGGTGTTATAGAACCCTATTTTGTCCTATTGCCGGAATTATTTTTCTGGTTTCTTCTCATTTGGATAGAGTATATCTTCTAATTACTTTTGAGACTATATCTTCTAATTATTTTTGAATTTATTTTTTGATTTGACTGTGATTTTTCACTTTTTTTTTTCACTTTGAGGATGTGACTTTAATGTTTATAGTTTATTGTAACCTAATTCAGCTCTGGGTGCTTTCAGGGGTGAAGACTGTATAAGTTCCCTGGTTATTTAAAATGTTTGTATGTTGGCTTTCTCAGATGCTAGTTGTGGTAACATTATGCTCAGTGTGTGTGTGGAGGTTCACTGTTTCCTGTGGGGTAGCAATGGCAGAGGTCTCATGAAGCTTATCTAGTTCCCAAGTGGTGTGCACTTTTTTGCCTTTTTTTTTCTCCCAGTGTTTTCTTTACCTGGTTGAATAATTCAGATTTCAGGCCAGTAGGGGAGGTGTCCCTGAGTGAAAACCAGCAGATTGGTAAATGCAATACCCAATGGTGGGAAGAAGCCCAAGCCTTGACCAAGGCATCTGTGGGAGCTCTTAGTGAAATGCACTGAGGTCTTTTCACGGGGAAGGGAGGGAGCCACTTCAGCTCCCTTGCCAGGCCCCCAGGAAAGCAGGTCACACTCCTAAATACAGTTCTAGCTATTCAGATTAGCAGGCCCTTTTTATTTGCAGGAATTCTCATGTTCCAAGTAGAGAGAGATTGTGATTCTATGCCTTATGCAAATCTGAATCTGGAGGGGACTCCTCCTCTGGGGACGCAGTTAACTTGAAGTGTTCCAGAAAGGCTATCTACAGGTCCACTCATGCTAAATTCCCATAAGAGAAGCACCAGCTGTGTCTGCAGTGGTGAATGAGGGGGGAAATCTTTTTCTTCAAGACCGTTCTGTAGATTTTCCCAAGTCCAGCACTGTACCTGTGCCTCTACTGAAAGAAACTTTCCACAGGTGGGAAGTTCTGGACTCAAGTCCTGCCATCTAGATTCTTTTTTCCATGGGGTGTGCCACTGATGTGCACTCCCCCTTATCCTAAGAGTAGGAGTCCCTGAGGGCCAGACTAGTATGAATGCTGCTACTTCTCTGGCTCTAGCCACCTAGTGGGACTGCCACACTCCAGGTTGGTGCTGGGGAATGTCTACAAGGGGTCCAGTGATGTGACCTGTTCTCAAGACTCTGTAGTGAGTAGCAACAACAGCTCTCATGGGGGTGACAGGAGAATGACATAGACTCTGTGAGATTTCTTGATTATAAGTAGTCTTGGTGCATTGGTTTTTCTGTAATGCCACCTGTAGTAGTGATGAACTGGTCGCATGGACAGACTCAGGACCTCCTAGTAAGCCAAGGTTATATAGGCAAAGGTGACAGCTTAGGTCACACACAAGTTTTCTCTTTCCTGTGCACTGTTAGTGTGCCTGCAGATGCTGTAATGGATTGTGTCAGTAGGCCTCCAGCCACAAGGTGGCACTTGAAAAAGAGCACCAGCTGGTAGCAGTGGGATTTGTGCTTGCCTTATGTTACGCAGGGGAGGTAAGCTGATGACTCAGGCAATGGGCAGGGCCATTGAGCTCTCAAAATTTTCTATTCTTTGTGTTAAGCTACCAGGGCAGATGGAGGGGCAAAGCCAGCTGGGGGCTGAATCAGGCAAGTTCACATTCTAGCTCTCTTTTGTCTGCCATGTGTGGGCAAAAGCACTGTCCCCAGTGGGGATCAGATAGTGGTCCTCTGGCTGTAGGAGTAATGTTGCAGGGAGTACCACAGCTGCCTCTGCTGCAGAGAAGCATCTGTATGAGGAATAGGGAGCAGCAGGCAGCAGTTAGCCCCACTCAGCTCCCACACACTTGGCAAAGCAGGTCTTGCACCTGCAGTGTCCCACTCGCAGCAGCTTGGTTCCAAGCAGTCAACACTCAGAACTCAACACTGCCCAAGGGCATAAGACTTCCCAGAAGAGACTGCAACCATGGCTTCCAGGTCACGCCTCTCCTAGTTGGCCCATGAAGCAGGGGCACCCAGCTCTTGCACCTATGGCTGCAGCACATTTCCCATCTGCCCCATGGTTCTGACCAAGGGGGTTTGTCTCCACTCGAGATTATATCACGAATCTCAGTTGAGAGCTTCTCTCAACCTGTGACCACTGCCTGAGTTACCTGGCTGACTTCTGTGAGGTCCCCTGTGAGATAGGATCAGGGATGGCTTTCCTCTGTCCTGCTGGGCATGCACACTAAGCCCGTCCCCATGCTGCTACTTCTCATATATGCCCCACTGCTCACTAAATCAGCTCCAGCGCTGGGTGGGATTAAGGCCTTTCCCTGTGGCCTGGATTGCTTGGTTCCCCAGTAGGAGTATATGTCCTAGAGGCAGTTTATCCCTATCTGACATTCTAGGGACTTAAAGTTTTCCTCCTGGCTCATGATTTTAGACAGCAACCTGACACTTCTTTCAAAAAGTCTGTGCTTTCTTTCAGTTTTCCTGTTAATTTTCTGTGTTGCTTCTTGGAAAAAATTTACAGTGTGAATCTCCACACACAATTCTGTCTTTCCAAATAGGAGAGGCATGCTAACAATGACTCTAATCTGCCATTTTGAGAAAAAAAAATACTGGAGGTCTTTATTTTTTTTTAATACTATAGCCCATTCTGAGTTTTCATTACAACCTCCACTCTAGTATTGTATCTACTTTTCACAAACCCTTATCTTTGGTAGCTGGATTTAATTCATTAATTTTAAAATTTTGATAAAAATTATGACATAATTATATTATTATGTATTTTCATTTGATTATCTAGGTTTATGAAACTGACTAAACTAATAATTATTTGATAATATGATTATATTCTGCCAATTCATTCTACGTGTTCCTTGGATATGTTAATAAACAATAGAAACAAGTCCAACTAAAAGACATCACTTATTCTGACTCTTGTTTTGAAAAATAAAACCTGACAAATCAAATAAAAGTAAATGAGTTATTATTCAGACATCCACTTATGGTTTGGGTATATATTTTGACAGTCCATGAGAAAAATTCCTCCAAGGGTCTTCACCTCCAGACATAAAATCACTTTGTTGCTTTTCTAAAAGCTATTTTTAAAAACACCAACATCTTTTTAAATTCTCCCATCTATAAGTTGGCAAAAATATCTGTTGAGGTTTGTAAGCAACATTAACATTTTAAATAATAAATGTAATATTTAGGGACAATTTAATTTAGTGACTCAAGGCATCTAATATTTGGTATCAGTATACGAATATTAAGAAACATTTAGCCCTTTTATTTATAGTATTTTTTATAGTAAAACAATTTCTACTTTCTATTATGCTTCTTGTTCTGTGATAGTTTACTATTTCTGAAACTTTATTTTTTACAAAATTTCAAGTTGAGTCTAAAAAAATTATATTTTGTTGTTTTGAAAAATACGTAGCCTAAAACTGTACATGCTAACAGTTGAGTTTTATCAGTGTTATTTTTACTAAACCTAATCACTATAAAATAGCTATATCTTGTGTATGTTAAAAATGTGAAATAAGATGAGAATGTATTTGCTATTCTATTAATTAAATTATATGAATTAGTAGCAACTATTAAGATGCTTTGAATATTCCCTTAGGTGGATGAGAACATGTGAGCAAGTACTAGCACAGTGGTAGATGCTTTGTAAATTGCTCTTACTTTCCTAATGATTGACAGGCTAATAGCTAAATAACTAAGATAATATAAGCACTTTCTTAGAATTTAGAGATCCACTTAAAAGACAGGTTTTCATTAGGAATTTCTGTACTTTATTTCACATTTCCATAAAAAAATTCCTCATTGCAAGAACCACTGCACCTATTATATGAAAAAACTCAAGAGAAAACAATCAGGTGACCATTACCTCTAAAACACCTGATTTGATTCAGTTATCCTATAGGAATCAAGTATCAGGCTTTACAAGATCCTCTTTTTTCAATGTTGTTTTACTGCCTAAAACAATGTTTAAGATGACTAATTCACGTTTCTTTTTGTGACTTATTTTTACTTGATCTAATTTCTAAAGTGATCTTTATGAGGTGTCTTGCCTAAAAATTTGCCTATACTTATAAATGCATTTTCACTTACTACAATCTCATTTTTTACTGTACTGTAGATGTACAGTTAGTTGAATGCATACATAATACTTTTGAGAATATATGAGGTTTTACATAAGAAGAATCATATTGAAGTGGTTATCTAGCATATCTAAAGAGGAAACAACAGAGAAGCAAGCTGGAAACAATATGTAGACATCAGTAATTATTTTAATTTCACAAGACAAACATTTATCAATCCTGTATTCAAAACCTACATATATGCTACTTAGGATGCAGAAATAGCTATGTACATTCATTGCCACCAAGGCATTTATGATCCAATTGAAGGGCAAATACAAACACAATGAAGTTTCTTTGTGTAGCAATTACACAAATAAAACTTCATAAGCTTGCCAAGAAAAGCAAGAACGAAGAAAGGAAAGAAAGAAGGAAGAAAAACAAATGGCAAAACAGAGCAATATTTAAATGTGGTTATGATTCAGCCAACCATTACATTTAATGATAATGTGCCTGTTTGGGAAATAAAATAGAAGAATTAACTGAATGCCAAGGGGAGGGGGAAGGAACAAATGAAAAAATCAAAACAAAATAAAACTGTGAAAGATAATTAATGGGAATAGAAAAAATTATGTACAAAAAGCATTTTATTTGGAGAGTAATTTAGATCTTTAGGAATATATTGGCTATATTCAAGTTCCTATACTTAAGTGCTATACAATAATAATTAAAGGTACCAGATTTAGTAAAGGGATTTTGCACCATGAATTTTTTTTTCCTGTAAAGATACAAATATATCTCCTTAGTAGAACAGATAACCTCACAGATTTATGACACTGTTATATATCAATCTATATTTATTTATTTAACCAAGCAATCTTAATGTTATTTTGCTAAATTGCTTCTAAATGTCCCAGTTTCTCAGATTCCCTTTGTGTCATTTAAAACATCTATTTGTTATTTATTAATTCAAGTTAATATCTTTAAAACCTATTCATTTTATATTTGTCTGAAAGCTATGATTTTAAGCTTCTAAAAATTATATTTTAATAGAAATCAGGGACTAGTTACCTTTAATCTGGGGGAGATACTACATATTTTAAAGCCTGAAGTCAATGTCTAGACAAAAGTTTCTGCTTAACATCAAAGGGTATGCAACATTTGCTGTGGCTCTCAAATATTAAGAAAGGAAAACACAACTGGGAATTTGTCACTAGCACTTTATTCTTTACTCAGGATTGAAGTAGAATTTTTTGACGCCAATATTTTTCAGAAACTTTAAACATTAGAAATAAAATAAAAACTAGCCCAATTCCAATATTCCCCATGGATTTCCTAGCAGAAGAAATGTGAAACTCTTATGGAGAAATAATCCAATATTGCAAACACAAGGATTTGCCACTACAGAAACTAACAAGTTAAATTGAAAACTATATTAAAAATAAATTCACAAACAAAAATTACAAAATACACAATGAAAAATGATATACATGCCAGGCGCGGTGGCTCACGCCCGTAATCCCAACAATTTCAGAGGCTGAGGCGGGTGGATCACCTGAGGTCAGGAGTTCAGGACCAGCCAGGCCAACATGGCAAAACCCCGTCTCTACTAAAAATACAAAAAATTAGCCAGGCATGGTGGCAGGCGCCTATAATCCCAGATATTTGGGAGGCTGAAATAGGAGAATTGCTTGAACCTGGGAGGCGGAAGTTGCAGCAAGCTGATATTGCACCATTGCAACCCAGCTTGGGCAACAAAGTGAGACTCTGTCTCAAAAAAAAAAAACAAAAAACCAGCAATAAGAGTCAGCAGATGTAAAACAGCAGAATTAAAAGTATGTGTAAAAATAGATGAATAATTTGAAAAAAATTATAAAATTAATAATATGTAATGAACATACATAAACACTAAAGACATTTAAAAAGAAATGAAGAGCAGATTTGGCAAAGGATATCCAAAAATAAAAATATAGTAATTGAATTTAAAAACCTATGAGATATGGATGATTAAAATTAATATAATAAATATATATCACAGAGAAATAAAGTTATCAATATAGAGCAAGATGGACAAAAATTATTATTATATTAGATACTTTGGGTGCATTTAAGATGGTATTGAGGCAATATCTAGAGGTAATAACTGGAAATTTTCTATAAGTCATTAAAGAAAAAAAATTTTCACATTCAGGAATTGGACAAGTTCTGAACAGAATTGATAAAAATAAATCCAAACTAGAAAGAACACTGATTTGGTGAATATTTTAAAAAGAAGCTAGTTCACTGAAAAACTAATACAATAATGCAATGGCATACCAAGTTCCAAATGCAAAATATACAGTGCAAGATAGAATACTATACACAGTGCTGAGACTTTTTGGGTCTACAAAATTTTAAGAAAGCGCACTCATGGATTCATTGAACAACCCTTTTTAAAGTAACAAAGAAAGAAAAAAGAAAACACTAAAAAAGACAAGTGTGAGAAGCAAGTGGCAACTGTAAACCTGTTAAATGTAAGGGTAAATCTAAATAAGCATTAATTATTTGAAAATGTGAGGCCAGGAGTCCAGTCCAACCTGGGTAACAAAGTGAGGCATGAGTTACAATTAAAATACTAGAAAAGTATTGACCATTTCAATTAAATGTTCCTTTCAAATCACTAATTATTTTCATGTTCCAAAATTTAAAGGTTAATTTTTTATTCTCATTTTATTGATCTATCAGTAGTCTCTTTTTCTTTAATTAAAAAACAAACAAACAAAAACACATAAACAAACAAACAAAAAAACCCAGCTTTTTTTCTTTGGCTTCCAGAACACGTCCTCTTGGCTTTCTTCTTATGTCTTTGTATGCTATTTCTTAGTCTTTGGAACACTTCTGTGTCCACCCCCACTCCCTTGATGAGTTCTCACAGAGCCATGGTTTACAATATTGTTTATGCTAAGAACTTGCAAATTTGTACCTCTACCTCTTACTTCTCTTCTAAATGCCAGGCTCTTACATCCAACTTCTTATGCTGTCTTCTTTTGAGAAGCTAATAAACATCTCAACTTTGAAATGCACATTCTCACCTACGACCATTTGTCTCAAAGCAAAAATCTTAGAGTCAATCCTACTTATTTTCTTTGTCAAGAATTGCACATCCCACCTTTCAGCGAGTCTTTCTGCTTGCTCTACATTCAGAATCTATCCAAAGTTAGTCACTCTCTTAGTCTCTCCCAGAAACAGATCCCAGTAAAAACATTCAATCAGAAGTAATTTGGGATGTAGAGAAAAACTATATTCTTTTTCTTCCCTCAGCCTTTTGATGTGTTTATTTCAATGCTATTTTTACAATGTTACTTACTGAATACATTAATTAAAATTGTAATCTGCCACTATTACTGTGTATCCTGCCTTACTTTATTTTCTTCACAAAATATATAACTTTTCAACACCTGTCTATATTTTATTTCTTTTGTGTCATCCTACATCTCACTGTAATCTTTACAAAGGCAAGGATTTTTTTCTTTAATATCCTAAATGTAGATGTTTGTCTCTAGTAGATTCAATGGTGCCTCCCAAAATATGATAAATATGCACATATCTTTCCATATGCTAGCCCACAGAAACTGTAGATGTGACCTAATTTTTTTGTATATATTAATAAGGATCTTGAGATGACGTCATACTGGATGATCCTAGTGCACCCTAAATCCAATAAGTGTTCTTATGAAAGACAGAAGAGGAGAAGATACAGGAAATAGAAGAAGGCTACTTGAGGATGGAAGCAGAGATTGGAGTTATGCAGCTACAAACCAAAGAATGCCTTGAGCCACCAGCAGCTGAAAGAGGTAAAGTAGGATCCACCCATAAACACTTGAGAAGGAAAGTGGGCCTATCTATACCTTTATTTCAGATTTCTGCCCTACAGAACTGTAAGAGAATATATTTCTTTTGCTTTAAACATTTAGGTTTGTGGTAATTTGTCATAACAGATCCAGCAAACTCATATACTGGCACTGAGCAGATATTCAATAAGAATTGATTATGAATTATAGTCATTATGATAGTGCGGCATTGACTCAGAGATGAACAATTTGTTCACTGGACTATAGCAGGAAATTCAAAAATTCATGGTAGACTTTCGATATTTTACATATGAATTGTCGTATCACCCAGAAAAATGAATAACTATTCATAAAATAGCAGTGATACATTTGATTAACATATAGAAAAATTGTAAATTGTATTCTATCATCACATTAACTTCAAATGTGAAAGACATCTTGTATCACTTTTAAAGAAAATATAAAATATATTTTATTTAGTAAAATTGAATTTGTAGAACGATGACTTTTTTTTTACTTTACTGCTTAATACTTGAGAAATTCTCCTCTTTGATGAGGCTATTAGAAAACAGGAACTCTAACAATTATATAGTGGGAAGATAAATTCATACAACGACTTTGGAAAGCTACTTGACAATGTAAGGATGAAAGTGCCCAAAGTTGTAAAATTTCCCTGCTCTATGTGTATCCTATGAAAATTCTAATATATATAAACAACAAAACAATAAGTATTTATTGTAGCTTTGTTTTTAACATTTACAATGGTAAATATAAAAATGCCAATATTTCCTGATATGAAAATTGATAGCTTTATATTATATATATAATGAAATCCCATATAGAAATTAAACAAAAACAGATACCCAAGTATCAGCTGGAATGGTTCTCAAAAATATCATAGTGAGATTATAAAGCATGTGTTGAAATAATACAGAGAAAACAATAACATCTTATTTAAATTTGAAGATACAAACACTACCATATACGGTATAAAATATTCTATACACAGACCTGTACTTAAAAATAGAGAAATATACAAGGGGATGCTAAACAATTTTAGCCTGTAGTTATCCCTTGTAGAATTTCTTATAATCTTGTTTCTGGTTATGTTGCTGTATCAATTATTTTTCAGTTTTGGGTATGTGTGAAATATTTCATAAAAGGAAGTTGGACGTTTTAATAATACATTGACTTTAAGAGGAGGAAGAATAGGTGATTGGGGTATTTTGTTATATACCAACACATGACTGAAATAATCATCTATTCTAATTCTGTTCAGTTCAGTGGAAAGTCTTTGAAGCTTTTTTAACAGAGTTGCACTTTGTCATATCTTTGAGAACATTGTGTTAGATTAAGTGGAACAGGAATGCTTAGAGGGAAGGAGATTAAAATAATGTGTTGTATGGATATTTGAGGTGACATACAATAGAACTGGAAAATAAAGAAACTTCATGAAAAATAGTATAAAAAGAGACATAAATGACTTACCAATTGACTGCTGTGTTTGATAGATGGGAATTGTAGTCGTAACATTGGATGAAATAGGAAAGACAGACTAGTAGAGCTCTTTGGAGGCAAATTCTATAAGTTCTTTTTACATTTTGAGTGAAAGTTTTCACTTTTAAATGAAATGCATATGGATAAAAAATAAAGGTAAATATAGTTATTATGAAATTGTCAAGATAAAATGAGAGTTGATGCATAAAAATGAATAGACTGGAAAAAGGGAACTTTTTAAATATAAAAAAAATTGCCTCTTTTCTGACAGTATTCTTTCTTCTTAAACTTCATGATTGTTCCTGGAAATTAAAGTGAAAAAAAACTATCATAAAACTATGACTCTATCATACTGTAACACTTCAGGGCCCATATTATTATACCTCCTCTGTCCATCTCGCATGACTGTTTAAAATGGTTCTGTTTGATACACTGACACTCAATTTCTTTTTATATGGAATGTAATTTGGGAGATTCTCTAAACAATCTGTATAATGGCAGACATGGAGTACAACTGAAATTAGAAATATTCTGTTGTAGTTTCCATTCTTTCTTAAAGGTTTTAACATTTTGTTATGAACATGACAAGCCTTATTTTTTTTTCCACACATAGAAGGAACACGAATTATAAATAGAACAAAACACTGTGAAATACTGCAAATGTGGAATAATTATTTGATCTCATGCACACACCTCGGTAATTTAAATTAAATTCTATAAGTAAATGACTAAATATTTTAAAATTAACTACTTTAAATTAAGATGTATTTAGAAATAATTTTAATGTTATTGAAATTTTTTTAAAAAAACTATTGTAATATAAGAAATCATGACATAATGCAAATACTACATATTTTCAGAAAATTTGGTAATAAATATCATCTCCCAAAAAACCATCTTAGTCATTGCATAAAATTCTACAAATGATATCTGATTTTAATTTAGAGGAAAGTACATGAACTGAAAGTCCCGACTGAATAAATGCTTAAAAAAGGATGATTTAAAAAAATTTAAAGGTAACATTTATTAATTAAAATAATTCTGATAGAAAATCCTAACAATGTACATTATTGTCTAGATTTATAATTCCGTAAATTAAATATACATCCCCCTGCAAGTGGCAATACTTCAAAAATTAATTCTAGTTTACAATTTAGTATAAAATAATGTATTAGAAGTGTCCCTGAAAGATGGAGTTTAATGGAGAAAAATGAGGAATATTATGAGTATCAGGACATGGAGAAGAGTAAAAAGTCAATATTGTGGGACAAATTAAATGACATTAAAAAATCACCTTTTTTCATTTGATATAATGTAATGGTTATAAAATATCTCCTCAGAGTTCTTCAACTGTCATTTCATTGAGATGTGGGGACTGGGGTCTCTGACCTTGAATCTGGGAGGACTTTTAACTTCTTTGACTAAGAGAATACAAAAAAAATCAATGCTGTGTAACTTTTGAGACCTGGCCTAAATCGACAATCTGACTTCTGCTCACTTTTTTTCAGACTCCTCCATCTCAGGAGGGCCCCAGTATTGCCAGGCTGGGAGAAACCCAAACCATGAGGATAGACCACGAATAGGAGTTCTGGTTGACAATCCCAGTTCATTCCTAGCTTCAAATACACAAGGCCAAGTGCCAGATATGGGCATAAAAAGCAATTTTGGAAGTGGACACTCCAGTCCAAGCTGTCCTAGCCCTCAGCTATTTGAGTTGCATCCAGACATGTAAATCTTCCCAGCTGAGGCCTCATCATTGAGGTGCAGAAAAGGGGCATGCCCACTGTGCCTGTTTCTAAATTCCTGACCCACAGAACCTGTGAGCATAATACAAGTTTACTATTTTATACCAGTAAGTTTGGGGTATAGTATTATGCAACAATACAACCTGATGCACAAAAAATCTCTTCTTTGTTACATAAACTCTATATAAACTGGCATATGCTTAGTTCTTAAACCTCTCTCCAATCTCCTTCTCTTTCCCCATACTCAAACTAATCTTTTTTTTTCTGCTCCTTCAACAAACCAGCACTTGTATTTACACATTAGATAAATTGCACCATTAACTTAAAAAACACAATTTCCAAGATTTTTACAAAACTGTGTCTTATAGTTTAAAGTATCTCAGCCTTTAAGTATCACTTGTTAGATAACATTTAGTTGCCAATCTTTATAATTGCTTTCTCTTACTCTACTCCTTAGCTTACAGTCCTTTCTGCCATATTTATCGTATTTGTATAACAGATCAAAATCTGTGGTTATCTATTTATTTACCTAATTTTCAGCTCTCTCCACTTATTATCATATAAGTTACAAACATTTCAGGTCATATCTTCAGTTTACCACACTATACCAGTAGCTTAAATATCACATTACCCATACTAGCCACTCAAAAATATTTATTATGGAATTAATGGAACTCTAAATTTAATCTGGTCTCCAAACTAAATATATGGCTTAAGTATCAATATAGGTTTCAGGTAGATAGGGTTTAGCTATAAGGAATACAGGGTGCAACTAAAAGCAGTTTTCACAGGCAAGATGTTTACTTACTTCTACAAAAGAAAGTACAAGCCAGGACAGGATAAGAAGAGCAGCCTCACAGGGACGCTGAAGATTTGTTATACACATGCAGGGACATTAATAGCATTTCCTTAGAAAGAGGTATGATATAAGATAGCTTGATGCCTGTAGCACCCTGAGACATGATTGCTCATATTGCAGCCAAGAAAAATAGGAAAGGCTGAAGCAGCAAAGGGCAAAGGGGCAAAAGGCCAAAGCCATGCAGGCCAAGTTTGTGCTTTTTTAAAGGCTTTCTTAGGAACCTATCTTATGATATCCATTTCAATGTCACAAAATTCACATGGCCACACCAAGAAACATGGATATTTTACTTTCCAAATAAAAAACTAGGCAAGAGAAGTTTACATTTGCATAGCCTATCAATAGTGTCTGCCAAGATATTTCCATTTTTTAGTGTATCAGAAAATTGGGCACACATGACTAACGTACTTTTTTCATTTTAAATAGAAACAAATGTGTGTGCATATATATATATAAAATATACATATTTATATGTGTGTAAATATATGTGCATGTGTGTGTGTGTGTGTATGTAAAACCAATCAACTTCTGCTGAAAAACTTCTGTAAAACTCATTTTTTTTTTCCAGTATGTTTCCTCTGAAGACAATCTTCACATCTAGGGAATATTAATGGTAATAATAACAGCATTGATTTATTGAGAGTTTTCCTATGTAACAATTACTATACAAGTATGCCATTTAATCTATTTCTCTAGTTTCAATATTAATATTGGTACTTAATAAACGAGTAAACTGAAAATAATAAGTTTAAAATCTTTTTTCACAGCTAGTCAGCAATACAACTGGGATTTGATATCAGATTCATACGATTCCGAAGACCCTGACCACCAAATGCAAAAGGTACATGGCAACAGCTGATTGCAATGAGAGAAAAACAACTAATAAGGCAACAAGCAGGATACTAAGATATTTTCCAAAATGAATAGCACTGATTCTGTGAGGAATGAACATTGCCAAACAAGTGTTTTGTTTTGTTTTTCAACTCCTCTAAAAAAATTCACATATATGCATGCCACTTTCCTGAAAAATATCTGCCTCATAATTGCCATAAGAAACGGTATGGACAACTCTTAAACATTCTGAAAGTAGTCAGGGATGGGGGAAAGCATTTGCTGTTTTAGTCTGTTCCTGGTCTTATAACAAATACCACAAACTGGGTAATTTATGATTACAGAAATGTATTTCTGAAAGTTCAGGAGTTGGGAAGTTCAAGATTATGGCACCAACATATTCATTGTCTGATGAGGGCCTGTTTCACAGATGTCATTTTGCATGACTTAATCACATGGTAGGAAAAGCAAAGGGACAAAATGGACAAATGCCATGTTGTCACATGGCAGAAGAAATGGAAGAGCCAGGAAGCTCTCAGAAGCTTCCTTAATTAGGATATTAATCTCATTCATGAGTGCATAGCCATCATGACTTAATTGCCTCCAAAGGCCCCACTTCCTCATCACTTTGAGGATTAAACTTAAACATGAATTTGGAGGAAATATATCCAAACTCTAGGACTAGTTTAAATGTAGCTAAAAAGGTTTCTTCATTCTGTAATCGTTAATATGCTAATATTTTTGTAAATATCCAAGAGGAAGCTAAAGCATATAATATTCCAAAATTTATTTCTGTTTGTGGATATTATGTTTTCCTCTCATTCTATCTTAAGAAATTAGTGTCCTCAAGAAACACTATATAGGATAATTGTCTTTCAAGTTCATCAACTACCAGTTCTTGATTCTTCAGTAGCTAATCCTAGATAGTAATACTTAACAGATTATAAAAACTTGGGTGCTGCTATATAAATGCGCTGAAACTCCCAGGGAACCAAACATAAGGACTTAAAGAGAGATGTAACTAGGGATCATAATCATGAATTTCAGCTGCTTCTCTATCTTTGTCAGTGAGCAAATGACCATACAAAATAAGGTATTCAATTATTAATTCTGTGCCCATATCCCGGAATTTTGCCCAATATATTTGTAAGTTTAGATAAATAAGGCACTAATGCCAGGGATATGTAGCATTAGTTCTGGGTTTATAAAGGGATATTCACAACCTCTTGCCATCCACAGAATTTATCAGCCCAAAGTAAACTATACTCGTTGGTTAAGGGCAACCTGAGACATGTTTAAAACTGAGGTGGACTGAAGAGTCAACTAATTGCAGGAATCTTTTATTTGGTTGAAATGTTCAAACAAGTCCCACTCTGAATTCTATTAGAAGTCCATCATTGGCTTCTCTCTCTTTCTCACTGTCTTAAATCATGTATTTTATAACACTATGAAGAATGAAGTTCAAAAGAATAAGCTAAATTTAATTAATTAAATTATTTATTTATTTATTTTGAGACAGAGTCTCACTCTGTCACCCAGGCCAGAGTTCAGTTGCACGATCTTGGCTCAGTGCATCCTTCACCTCCTGGGCTCAAGAGATCCTCCTGAAGCAGGGCATTTCCCTGACCCCTTCATGGGACTCGTGACAGGGGTGCCCCATTTACTCAGCCCACTGCTCTCAACTCCTCAAGGGAGGGAGTGCGCAATTGAACAAGGCAGGAACTGGAGTACACGAGTGCTGGAACCAGTGGCCTCTTTGGTGCCAGAAGGAGTGAACTCACCCACTCTGACCTGCTGTGTTCCACCTCTTGCAGGAGAGAGCATGCAGGTGAGCAGGTACAGGAGCCAGGAAGAGAGCTTTGGGGTGTTGGCAGGAGCAAACTCCATGTGGGCCCCATAGCAGCCCCTGGGGTTAGGGGGGTGCCTGTGATTCCTGAAGCCCCAGTGGGCATATTACAGTGCTCCTTTAGCTCTGCCGTCTTCAGACAGCTGAAGTGTTAGCAGCTCAGCATGCCTTTTTGTATCCACACTCACTCCTGAGCTCTTGTTTGGCATCCAGGAAAAAATCAGCTCACAGAAACGAATTGAAGGATGGTAAATGCAGAGGATTTTATTGCCAAGGAAAGTGGCTCTCAGCAGGAAGGGCAGCTGGGAAGGAGATGTAGCAGGAAGGTTTCTGGCTGGACTCTTCTCCAAAGTTGCACTGTCAAGCTGTCTCTCTGAAATCAAGCTGCTTCTCTCCAACGTCCAACCGTAGTCTCTGATGCCCAGCTGCTGCTTCTCTTTTGATGTTCAGCTGCTTCTCTTTTTTGCTAGCTGAGTCTGGGGTTTTTATGGGCACAGGATGGGGGACAGGGGAGGTCATGGGTAATTTTGTAAAAGGCAACATTTGAGTGGGAAAACAGGAATGTATGTTCTCACTTTGGGCTTTGGTTCCAGGCTTGAGGGTGGAGCCGTTGCCAGGGACCTGCCCTCTTTTGCCCAGAATTTCCCTGCCTCCCTTCCCTTTCACTCCCACCCCATCACTCCCACCTCAACATCCTGAGTAGCTGGGATTATAGGCGCACACCACCGCATCTGATTAATATTTAAATTTTTTGTAGAGACAGGGTTTTGTCATGTTGCCCAGGCCGGTCTCAAACCCTGGGCTCAAGTGATTTGCCCACCTCAGCCTCCCAAAGTTCTGGGATTACAGGTGTGAGCCAGTGTGCCTGGCCCTAAATAATATTTATATGGGCATTTTGTAATTATTATTTTTTAATAATATAAATGTTTCCTTTTTAATATGAATTTTTCAAGAGTTTTATAATTGACTGATTATTCATTAAAATTTAATGAAGGACAGGAATTGGCTATTTTTCTGAATGACAAAAATTAGGAAATTTTTAGAGAGATGATGAATTTATCCTAGAATATATGGAAAGAGTAAATCTTGTTATATAGAACAAGCAACTTTCCAATCCGAAGGATCTTAGAATAATAAAAATTTTTTTTCTTATAATTGTTTTCTTATAATTGTTTCAAAGTAATACTTTAGACCAAAAATTGTATATCTCAGTAGGTGGCCTATATGATAATTAAAAAATTAAAAGCTAAGTTAATTAAATTTTTAATTAATTTAATTTTTATTAATTTTAATTATCAATCTTCAT
This sequence comes from Homo sapiens, assembly GCF_000001405.40. NCBI lineage: Eukaryota > Metazoa > Chordata > Mammalia > Primates > Hominidae > Homo > Homo sapiens. Next base: position 39,959,434 of record NC_000009.12, read on the forward strand.
TGAAGAATTTTGTCCAAAAAATGTGGACAATATGTGTCATAAGGATTAATCACCATAAAATAGTCCCCAAAGGAAATTAAAGGACTGATTAGATAGTACTAAAATAACAATCATACAAAGTAGAAAGTGGTGTTATAAGAGAAATGTAGATAAAATATTGTAAGAAACTAAAGTAGGAAGATAATGTTTTGAGTTGTGGGAGATCAGGGAAGGTTTTTTGGAAAAAGTAACGTTTAAGCTAGATCTTAGAGAGACATGACTTAATAGAAAAGTAGGCAAAAAAATATGAATAACCCTTTCAGATTACAGGCAATACAAATTATGATAAATATAAAAAAATTCTTACTTCACTAGTAATCAAGTAATTGAATTAAACAATTGGATACCATTTTTTCTTCAGCAGACTGGCAAAACATAAGATGTTAACAAGGGTTTTGAGGGTACAGGGAAGAGGGTAGGCTCAAACTATGCTGGTATCAATGTATAACCAAGATCTCCTTTGGAGTACAATTGTTATATAGTCTACATTCTGTAAAAACTAAACACATATGTTTGCCTTTCCACTTTTGGAAATACATGGTAGATAATCATGCAAGAATGTCAATTGCAGTATTGTGTTGTAATTTTTAAAAATACTCTAGATATTCATCAATATATAACTACAAATAAAAATAGTTGGACTATCATGCAGACTACAATGCCTCTATTGTGGCATAATAGTTAATAATACAATCTCTGAGAGCAGAATATCTGGATTTGAATAATTTGCTCTCCCTCTAAATGACCTTGAGCAAAGTACTTACAATCTTTTTCTCTCTTCCATAAAATGGAGATAACAGCATTGCCAATTTATTAGCTTGTCATGATGATTAAATGAGATAATCCATATATCACACCAAGTACCCACTACGTAATAAGCAACTAATTAAATTTGACTAATATTAATAATTTCATTATTATTCATCTTAATATCATGGCATGACTTCTAAGGTATATTATTAAATAGAAAAAGATAAGTTTTAAACTGAGCCATAGTTTAGAACTTGACTTAAAGCAGACTCACAAAGCAAATGCTCATATCTAGGACAGGTAAATCTACACGTGTTTATACACACATTCACTGTATTTGGGGAAAATACACACCAAACTGGAAACACTGGTTGTCTCTGAAGAAGAGACAGGGCTTTGGCAATATTCAAATTAGGCTTTAACTGTTTCTGAAAGTTTCAGTTCTCTATAAGGAGAAGGTATTACTTATGTAATTTTTAAAAATTACATATTAAGTACTAAATGACTGAAGCTTCTTAGAATTGATGGGTGCAGGCATCACATGGGCAGCAAGGCATTCACATAATGGAGAATCATGGTCTCCTGTAGATGTCTAGGAGTGATAAAATTAACTACCTTTTAGGTGGTGTAGTTTCCTGGTTGAGCTGATAATTATTAAGTTAATGATTAGTAGGTTATTTCTCAACACCGAAGAGATTATTAGTGTTTCAAAGTTTTCACTGTAATTCATCTGTAAAACCATTCAACCTACCTCCAGTACACCTCAGTAATCTGGTGACAAGAGAGTATTCTTGCTCACTTTATTTACTCTTCAGTGATCTAATGCCAATAATGCCAGCCTATAGAAACAACAGCCAATTATAACAAAAAGCACATTAGAAAGTCAAATATAGCTGGGTAATAGACATAAAAATACCTTATTAACATTTTTATAACACTCTGAACTGAAATAAACAGACCACTCTCGATTTTAGCATCTGGTTCCAAACAATTCTTGTTTGGGTGATAACTTTTTAAAAACAAATGTTGGGCATCTTTCATCGACTTTTCATCAAGTAACAGCTGTTCCTTTAGAGCAAAATGTATGCATGTTGGAAGTGTGACTGATGCTCACTTCTGTTTTGTTCTGTGTGAGAAAGCTTTATGTTGGGTGCAATTCAGAAAACAAATGGTTTCAAATCTTTTGAATAGATGCCATAGCACAGTTTAAATGCAGCTTCTTGTGATTTTTAGAATAATTTCAGCCACAATTTTTACATTCAATTTATAACTATACTAAGACATTCTCCTTCAGAACAAAGGCATTTCTGTTTTCATGTGCTCTTGGGCATCTTCGGGTCATTCATTATATCAATCATTTATCTTCGTAAAGCGTTTGGCTATGAACAATTACTTACTACACCAAAGCATGAAAGAAATAGATATAGCTCATCTGCTCTTGAATGCATTTCTACAGATTCCCTTAGGATAATTCCTGTTTCAACTTAAGCTATTAAATTTTTTGCTGCATTCAAATCACCTCATCTGCTGAAACATGTGGAGACAAATAACCACAGACGTTTGCATGAAGGTTCAGGTGTATTTAAGGGCAGCTTAATTATAAGACACTATGAAATTCTCCTAATTAATTTGGAGCTAAATATTCTACATCAAATATTTTACAAAACTTAAAGAAATATTTACTTTTCACATGATTACGATTTTGATACTAGGTTAAAAATGACTTATACTGGCATTTTTTAAACAGTTTAAGACAAATAATGTTTTTGATACTGTTTATTATAACATATGAAAAGTCTTTATGCAGATATACTCTATTTTATCGTCTGTTCATTTCATGTTGCATTTGCATGCACTCCTGAATTACTTGTTACTAAAACATACAGAACAGACAGAAAGTTAAAATTGGTTAATTTCTATCTAATCTGGATAAGATAAACACAATGAGTGAAATAAATAATTATGTCAAATAACAAAAACCTCATGCATAGAAACTTCAACATTTCTGAATAACAAAAAGTATAACATTATGTAGGGCAATGTTCCACTTTTGTATCAACTAGAAATAAGCCCTGAATCTGAATGATGAAATTTTAATAGTAACTGTTGACCACAGGGCAGAGTTTACTCTCTTGGTCAGATGCTTTTGTGAATGACACAAACTGTGTGTCCAGATCACTTTTCCCTATAATCACTTCAAATTACTTGACTTTTTGATCTCTTCCTTTTTTCTGTCTCTTTTTTGTCCACAACAGATATTCCAAATATCCACCGAGTTTTCAAATACTCCAGTCCATATTTGGTCTTCCCATTCCTAGCAGAAGTACTTTGTCTTCTACTTCCCAGAATAATGTTAATTCTCTTATTTTAGACTTGCTTGCTTTAATTTGTATTTATTCTTGGCTTTTTTTCTTTCCATCTCACAGGATAAGAGGGCATCTCTTCTTCCATATTCATAAATACGTTGCCAACAGGAATTTGTTGTTATTTACACTTTCTTCTCCTAGACATTTTAATTTTACTTACCTTCCCTGAGCACATGGCAAAGTCAAAACACAAGCAGAATCTTACTTATGAATAGAGGCAGATTTATTAAGCCAGGGGTAGGCAAACTATAGCCAATGAGCCAAAGCCAGGCTGCCACGGGTTTTTATAAATAAAATTTTATAGGAACTCAGCCACAGACATTCCTTTACATATTGCCTACAGCTGCTTAAGCACTACAAAGGCAAAGTTGCATATTTACAACACAAATAATATGGCCTGCAAGCCTAAAGTATCTACTATCGTGCCCTTTATAGAAAATGTTTATCAGCTTTTGTTCTCTTATCCTAAGTTATGAGGCTTACATTTCCGGCCACCTCATTTGCATTTGAGTTTCCAGTTTTGAGTTTGTAGTTTTGCATTCTTGCTTAAAGAGCCCCAAACCCTGACCGCCAAATTGAATGTGCTGTAGATCCCACAAAATATGGATCCAATCAAGCTGATGCCATGTCATTATCTGTAGCTTTTATTCTTTGCCATCACACACCTTCCTTGAACAGTTAGGCTTCTGCAAAAAATCTTAAATAATCACTGATATGGGTTGGTTCTGTGTCTTCACCCAAATCTCATCTTGTAGCTCCCATAATTTCCACGTGTTATGGGAAGGATCCAGTGGGAGATGTCTGAATCATGAGGGCACGTATGTCCCATGCTGTTCCCATGATAGTGAATGGATCTCACGAGATCTGATGGTGTTAAAAATGGGAGTTTCTCCACACAATCTCTTTTTTGCCTGCTGCCATCCATGTAAGATGTAGCTTACTCCTTGCCTTCCACCACGATTATGATGCCTCTCCAGCCATGTGGAACTGTAAGTCCAACAAACCACTTTCTTTCGTAAATTGCCCAGTTGCAGGTATGTTTTTATCAGCAGCATGAAAATGAACTAATACAGTAAATTGTTACCAGTAGAGTGGGGTGCTGGTGGAAACATATCCAAAAATATGGAAACGACATTGGAACTGTGTAACAAGCAGAGGTTGGAACAGTTTGGAGGACTCAGAAGAAGACAGGAAAATGTGGCCAAGTTTGGAACTTCCTAGAGACTTGCTGAATGGCTTTGAACAAAATGCTGACAGTGATATGGACAATGAAATCCAGGCTGAAGTGGTCTCAGCTGGTGATAAGGAACTTGTTGGGAACCGGAGTAAAGGTGAATCTTGCTACATTTTAGCAAAGACACTGGTGGCATTTTGCCTGGCCCTATAGATTTGTAGAACTTTGAACTTGAGAGAGATGATTTAGGGTATCTGGCAGAAGAAATTTCTAAGCAGGAAAGCACTTAAAATGTGAATTCGGTGCTGTTGAGGGCGTTCAGTTTTATAAGGGAAGCAGAGCATAAAAATTTGGAAAATTTGCAGCCTGACAATGCAATAGAAAAGAAAATCCCATTTTCTGAGGAGAAATCCAAGCCAGCTATGGACATTTGCATAAGATAATGGGGAAAATGTCTCCAGGACATGTCAAAGGTCTTTACCTCAGCCTCTCCCATCACAGGCACAGAGACCTAGGAGGAAGAAGTGGTTTTGTGGGCTGGGCCCAGGGTTCCTTTGCTGTGTGCAGCCTAGGGACTTCATCCCCTGCATCACAGCAACTCTAGCTATGGCTGAAAGGGGACAACATAGAGCTCAGGCTATGGCTTCAGAGGGTGCAAGCCCCAAGCTTTGGCATCTCCCATGTGGTGTTGAGCCTACAAGTGCACAGAAGTCAAGAATTGAGGTTTGGGAACCTCTGCCTAGATTTCAGAAGATGTATGGAAACGCCTGAATGCCGAGGCAGGAGTTTGCCACATAGGTGGGGTCCTCATGGAGAACCTCTGCTAGGGCAGTGCAGAAGGAAAATGTGGGGAGGGAGCCCCCACACAGAATCCCTACTGGGGCACCACCTAGTGGAGCTGTGAGAAGAGGGCCACCGTCTTCCAGACCCCAGAAGTGTAGATCCACTGACAGCTTGCACTGTGTGCGTGGAAAAGCTGCAGACACTTAACACCAGCCCATGAAGGCAGCCAGGAGGGAGACTGTACCCTGCAGAGCCAGAGGGGTGGAACTGCCCAAGACCATGGGTATCCACCTCTTGCCTCAGCGTGACCTAGATGTGAGACATGGAGTCAAAGGAGCTTTAGATTTGACTGCCCTTCTGGATTTCAGAATTGCATGGGGCTTGTAGCCTCTTTGTTTTGGCCAATTTCTCCCATTTGCAATGGCTGCGTTTACCCAATCCCTGTACCCCTATAACCCCATTGTATCTAGGAAGTAACTAACTTGATTTTGATTTTGCAGGGTCATAGGTGGAAGGGACTTGCCTTGTCTCAGATGAAACTTTGGACTGTGGACTTTTGAGTTAATGCTAAAAAGAGTTGACATTTTGGGGGACTGTTGGGAAGGCATGACTGGTTTTGAAACATGCAGATATGAGATTTGGGAGGGGCTGGAGTGAAATGATATGGTTTGGCTCTGTGTCCCCATCCAAATCTCATCTTCTAGCTCCCATAATTTCTGTATGTAGTGGGAGGGACCTGATGGGAGAAGACTGAATCATGGGGGCAGGTCTTTCCCATGCTGTTCTCATAATAGTGAATGGGTCTCACAAGATCTAGTGGTGTTAAAAACAGGATTTTCTCTGCACAAGCTCTTTTTTTGCCTGCTGCCACCCACATAAGATGTGTCTTGCTCCTTTTTGCCATGATTGTGAGTCCTCCCCAGCCATGTGGAACTGTATGTCCAATAAACCTTTTTCTTTTGTAAGTTGTCCAGTCGTGGGTATGTCTTTATCAGCAGTGTTAAAATGGACTAATACAATCACTCTATCAAATGAGATAATATTTATTCCTTTACCACTGACAACTCTCTCTCGGCTCTTCTATTCAATCATGTTACTGATAGACGCTTTGCTTTTTGTTTTTGTTGTTTAACCTGATTGTTATAGCTTATTTTATGAATTTCTGTTCTTCTTTTAATTTTACAACAATTTTACTATTTCTCCTTACATGTTTATAAGTCATATGGAGACTCCTTCTCATCTACCCTGACCCCAGAATATTAAAACTTTTCAGAGTTTCAGGATTAATTCCATTATATGGACATGATTCCTTGAGATAGGAAAAACTGATTGGATTGTGACATTAGACTTATCAGAATCTAAGATCTTACAAAATATAAAGCTTTACTAGTAATTTCACGAACTCAGGTAATCATTAGGCATAGGCAAATCAGAGAATTATTTAGATCTCTTAATCTGATTCTTTAGATCCTTGGTTCTGTCATTAGATACTCCCTTGCCCAGGCAGATAGATGAGACTTCTAGAGAGGTATGCAGACAATTTATTTACATGGAGATACCTGTCTCAATTATCAAATATCTTAATTTTTATGCAGATAGTTACATATGTGGTATATGTGACATTTTCCAGGGAGCCCCATAAATCCACAACCTTCTACTTTGTTAACCATAAGCAATTCTAAACGACCAAGTACATTCTGCTAAAAGCATTTCTGTGATAGATAATCACTCTCCTGCCAGCAAAAAAACAAATTGTTTGTCAGGAGCTGTCATTAGTATGTTTATATAAGCAAAATGGGCTTCCTTCCTTCTGTGGATCCTGGCAGGGCATCTCAGTAATCAGAAAGAATCAAAGACCCTTTCCTTCCCAATCTGCTCTGGCCTTGGTCAACATCTTAGTGCCAAATATTGCTGGTGTATTATCATTATTGTCTTACACCATTTTCTGCAGTGTTTCACTTAAGCCAACTAATACTCTGACCTTGATTTGAACCATCCAACAGAGAGTAGGAATTCCCTCCACAAAGCATGTTACTCATTAACATCTTCCTTTACAAGTCTCTTGATGTTCATTCACAAACTCAATTACCTTTTTCCTCCATCAACCTCAATTATTTGCATCATTTTCCATGGGCCTATGGGAGTATTTAATTGAATACATATTTTTTCTTCTCAAATCAAATTTTCTGAAAAAAATTTGTTTCTATGAACTGTATTTTAGGTATATTCCAGGTTGGTACAAACACTAATTTTCAGGGGTCATTATGTCAAAGAGCCCATCCACACCCCATGGCCTACATATGTCAAAGGATTGTTCTTTATTCATCCACTTTCTATGAATTCCACACACGGGAGATAAACTTCTTTTTCATCCATATTACCAGGGTTGTCAGGGAGCAACACTGAAGGTCACAGTGTTCAGTGAAACCTTGCCATAACTTAGACTAAACACGTTTTTCCCATAATTTTACTTCTTCAAATTCTTTCTTTTTCTTTCTTTCTCTTTCTTTCTTTCTTTCTTTCTTTTTCTTTCTTTCTTTCTCTTTCTTTCTCTCTTTCTCCTTTTCTTTCTCTCTCTCTCTCTCTCTCTTTTTCTTTTTCTTTCTTTTTTTTTTTTTTGACAGGGTTTCACTCTTGTCACCTGGCTGGAGTGCAGTGGCACAATCTCGGCTCACTGCAACCTTCACCTCACAGGTTCAAGCAATTCTCCTGCCTTAGCCTCCCGAGTAGCTGGGATTACAAGCACCTGCCACCATGCCTGGCTAATTTTGTATTTTTAGTAGAGACGGGGTTTCGCCATATTGACCAGGCTTGTCTTGAACTCCTGACCTCAGGTGATCCACACTCCTCAGCCTACCTAAGTGCTGGGATTTTACAAGTGTGAGCCACTGCGCCCGACGTTGAGCTTGTTTCTTTATGAATTCCTGCAACTCAACATTAAAGACATAATATCCCATAGTGATTAATATATCCAATAGTCCTTCCTGACTAAAGGTACAAAGTTAATCCTAGTGTTGTTAATAAGCATGGAAGTCATTATTTATTCAGTGTCTTCGGTTCAAGCATTGTCTTAAACCAAACTGATTTTCTACTACAACTGAGTCCTCTAAAAACAGCTTCCTCTAGTGTCCCTATTTGAAGTAGCAAGTCATTTTTATCATAATGATGGGCCTCCTAGAACACTACTTCAATTAGATTTAATATCACATGACCAAATCCTGTAATTCTTTCAAAATGCCTGGCAAAGGGGCCAGTGCTGCTTAACTTGCCACTCATGTAGTTCATATTATGTGCTAATTAAATGTGTCTAGTTTGAAAGCATTGTCTACACCTACAAATAATGTGCTTCATGAAATTCTCAATTAGGTATATCCTAGCACCAGATACCGTTTTATCTGGCTGTGCCATAGGCTTCCCTTAAATGTCCTCTACTTACCTCTTGAGGGAGTTATTTATAATTTTAAAGCATTAAAGCAAACATAAAATCACATTCTCTGAGGCTTTCTAGGTTCTAGTTTTATATTATTTAAATTAATTCCATTTACATTCACACTGATATGTTCAAAGCAACAGACCAGATCAAGCTGTGACATACCAGACAGGCAGCCACTATCTGCTTTCTATCATAACCAGGGAGCTGTCTTAGCAATGTATCATTTTGATTTATGGCCATATAGGGTGCAGAAATTCTATTCTACAGCATCCTCTGCTCTGTACAATTCATTGGTAGTTTCTCTGGAAAAAAATAATCTAGAATGGTAAACAAAGCCTAGAAACTGAGTGATAACTGTAGTCAACTACACACAAGCTGAGTTGTCAGGGGGCACTTTGTCATCTGTTTTATTCAAATTATACAGGTAGAACATCCAAATCAGTAGGAGTCCAATTTTCCTTTTCTGCAGTAAGCAGGCCAAGAGATTTTCACCAACAAAGCCCATTTGTTTGGATGACAATAGCAAAAGATAGTTAAGTATGATATCCTCACTCTGAGCTGTTTGCATGAAAATATTGTAGTGGCTTCCCTCCACGGTAATGTAATCTACTTATAAACACCTTTCCCATCTGCTATGATTTTACCCTATTTCCAAATGCTTCCTCCCAATATCAGGCTGTATAACTCATCATGCATAATGTTTGCCCGCACAATCAATAACAAGAACCTTACTAGCACACCCAAACAAATGTTTGGGTTTTATTTGTTTGTTTGTTTAACTTTTATTTTAAGTTCATGGGTACATGTGCAGATTTGTTACACAGGTAAACTTGTGTCATGGGGTTTGTTGTCAAACAAATGTTATAAGTGACAGACAAAGGACCTCAGAAGTCTCTCCTCTGCTTGATAATGGAGCTACCTTCACCTTTAGCCCTAATTGGTTACATAGGAAGGAACTTTTGATCCACCACAAATTACCTTTCAGAAAAGGCACAGTCAAATTAAATGACACAAATATCATGTCTTGGGTATTGTATAATCTTCCTCTGGTGCAAGTAAATTTAAAACTGGGTTTGAGACCGCCATTAGAGGCCAAATAAAAGTATTAGAGGTGGGAAAGATATAAAGTTATATATTATTGCATTCTCCTTCACTCCCTCATTATTACCTCTTGATATTAGTAAGGCACAGTGGATTTTGTTATTTATTTCTCATATTAGTCTCAGGACGCAATGGTTTCACTAAATGAACCCTTAATAATTTTTGAGCAAGGGGCCTTGCTTTTCATTTTTCACTGGGTTACAGAAGTTATGTAGCTGGTCCTTCCTGTTGACATTGGCTGTGTCATTCAGTGCAACAGCATGTGTCTTTCAAATGGATTATAGCAAACAGCTGCCACAGGCATATTTTGAGTCAAAATCCTAAGGAGTCTAAATTGGTGGTCTCATTTAACTTTTCCTAAAGGGCTCTAGTTTGGGTATGCCCTAATATCATCTGACCAGTTGGATGGGATCATAAGGGCCTAATGTTATTGCCTGTGCTACCACCTACCACGATACTTTTCATGCTTATTTCTGTTCAGTACCTGCAGTGAGTTAAGTAGTGCTCTTCTGAAATTATTATTCATTCAGAATCTCAGAAGGTGACCTTCTTTAGAAATTTGCACATACAATTAGTTAAGATGAGCTCCTACTAGATTAAGGAGGGTCCTAATTCCAATGACTGGAGGTGTTTTTATAAGAAGAGAGGACACATGGAGAAGAGATTGAAAATGAAAGCAGAAATTGGAGTAATAAATCTATAAGTAATAAAGCTCCAAAAATTTGTAGGAGAGAGTAGAACCTAGGCAGGGGCAAGAAAAGATTTTTTTCTGTGGCTTTTCAAGGAAGCGTGACCCTATTGACTCCTTGGCTTCAGACTTCTAGCCTCCAGAACTGTGAAATAATAAATTTCAGTTGTTTTAAGCTACCCAGTCTGTGGTAATTTGTTCCAGCAGCCCTAGGAAAGTACTACAATGCTGTATTCACGTTCTGAACTCTTTCCAGTTATTTTGTGAGTATGGGTAGACAAGATTCTTAGAACAGTCTTGACAGTCTCTGAGTTTATTGCTTATTGGTGGGTCCTATGAAATATAAATTACTTCTCACAGTTTAAGGAATGTCCTAAGTTGATCTGCACTAATTTATAGGATTTAGTTGGAGTTTAAGGAATGTCCTAAGTTGATCTGTACTAATTTCCAGGAATTAATTTGCACCTTGGGCTGTGCCTTAAATTCTAGCTGGATTTATCAGCCAGCTTCTATTTGTAATACAGGTGACTATGGTCCTTAACTCCTCTCCTAATTTTTGCTCTGAGAAGAAAATTATCATCATACCATGAAAGTAGTAGATGAACTCTATCTTTTAGGTTATTCTTTACCAGATTATGGAAATGTGATAATGAATTTTTTTAAAATCCATGATAAGACAGTAAACATATACTTGTTTCTATTCTGCAAAGCTTAAAATTTTCCTACTTGAAATTTAAAAAAAAAAACTCTTAGGAGGCCCCTGAGATTGGTTTAATGCTCTGTTGTAGCTATCTGGAAATTCTTAATAATTTTTGAGTAAGTATCCATGCATTTTCATTTTATACTCAGCTCTATGAATTATGTAGTTAATCTTGATAACATATCAGAGCCTCTTGTCTACTTTATTTTCTGTACATTCTTCATCCTATCAGGTACAGATGAAGCACGCAAATGAACCACCTTGATACTCTACTGTAAATGTCCAGGGGCTACCTACTTATTGACCAGTTAGAACTACAAAAAGGAAGTTAATGTGGGGAGGGGAACTTCCTTCTGAACCATTTTCTTAATTACAACAGTAGTCTCTTATTGCGCCCTTGGAATTCTGCATTGCTTAATATTTACTACTGTGGAGAGCTTGAGCAATTCCAAAGGATCCCATTTGGCAGAGCTGATTAAAATTTGGTGAAGAGTGAGCTCAGTCTTCATCCTCTGTGGAAACACAAAGACGACAATGTCCCATTCATACTGAATGACAATTGCAATTTTGTATTTATGTAAAGGTAGCACAAGCAGGTAATATTCTCTCCAACCACACATTTCAACCTGTAACTTCATCTTTACCTTGGTTTCCTCCCTGATGTTCTCTTCATGCACTCCAGATTTCACTTAGAGCATGTATGAGACTCTTTCCTACCTTCCATAAGGCCTACTGTAAATTCTGCTCTACATCCTACCAATGATAAGAAACTTTGAATACCACCCCAGGTAACTTTGTTCAAATTATATATATGGCCTCAGATCCATGACTGGGGCTGGAATGAACAGACCTCAGTTCTTTATTTAATTGTTTTCAGATTCTACGGCTTTAATTAAGGCAGTAAACTCAGCCCCCTGTTCAAGTATGTTCTGTTCTATATCACTATCCTCATAATTGGATTTGAACTCTTTCAGCCACAATAAATAAAGCAAATTTTCTATGATTCTTTAAGGGATTGGTGGGGGCTACAGTACTCCTCTCCTCTGATTCAAAAGTTGATAATGTGCTTTTATTTTCTTATTAAAAATTCTATCAAGGCTTACTTTTTAAATCCTATTTATATTTTCTTCAAAAGTAAATTAATTCAAGTGAGCTGCCTTTCTATTTTCTCTTCTGATTTTTAATTTCTCCCTGTTGTGCACATGATATAAATGCTTTTTCTCCGTATAATCCCATGTATAGTAACTAAACCTGTATGTTTGTTACTGTTCTCTGAATATATATATTTGGCCCTCAAGGTTATATAAGTCTTGTAAGACAGAGAATCATTAGCTTATCCCATTCACTCTATCTCTTATTATTTGTATCAATAGCATTAACTAAGGTGTTTTCTCTCTGGAAAATATAAAGCCTGTCAACATTTACACTTGTATCATTCCTATCATGTGAAAAGGAGAATCCAATTGGCAATTTGGAGAGGAGTAGTAGCAGTTACCCTTCTCAGTATAGGACTGACAAATCTCACCTTAACAACTGCAGCCGATATGCTGTCACAGTATTTGGAAGTGTTTTCTCAAAAGTTTACAGCCATTTAATGATTAGCCATGACCATGAATAGTCCTTTGCATCAGATAATAATAGAATTGCAACATGTCCTCCATCATTAATTTGAAGAATCCATGCCAATGTTAATTCACCAGTCTTCTGTTAGTGAATACTCTGTTCTTTAATAAAATATAGTTTTCACTCATCACCTGTCCTTGGACTCCGGTTACATAAATAGTTTGTCCAATAATCAATATTTTGAGTCATTTCTAAGGATACATGAAATTTCTCCAAGAAACCAGGGAGGGATAAGAAGGTTTTCCAGTGAATAAAATGTAATCTCGCAGCTTTTTCTCCCACTATCATCTCCTCCTATTAAAAACTAACCTATTAAAAGGTTAGCTTTTACAGGTATGCTAGCAGGAGTCAGTCAATGGGATTTGCACCCAATTTCCCTTTGTCCATGTACTCCCTAGACCCGTACTCCCAGACTGTAGTCTATGGCCCCCAGATTTCAATGGTAAGACTTATTTCCCTTAACCTGCCTCAAAGATTCCACTACCTCATACCAAAAATGTACAGCCAACTATCCTGAGAACAAATTCTCATATTTTTCCATTATTTCCTTTTGAAAAGGAGCCCAGGTAGAAAAAGAAAACATTCACTATTTTGGTGTGTGGGTCTAAAAGACAATCCTGCTCTCAGTGCCAATCTGAACCCACAAAAAGCATTGAATTGTCAAATCGGACTCACATTGAAGATTTTGCTCAGTATCATGCTTTCTGAATAATTTCAAAGATAAAATAATCATGTATGGGTTAAGTGGGGAGAGACCTGTGTCCTTTCATCTTCATTGAATGTGGTCTCATCCAAGTTTCTAGATTTGGTTTCTAAGTAAAATGTACAGTTGCTTTACTTACTCAGGTGTATTCTCAGTTACAAACCATCTCCTTTTATACTTAGATAGCAACACAGCTAACGTGACATTTTCTTGGGAATCATCACCCTACATTTATTGATTCCTGGCTTATTTTTCATAAGCAATTTTAGACAACTCTGCATGGTCTGCTAGAAACATTTTATGAAGAATGATTCTTTGGCTACCAAAAACTATTTAGTTTATTTTCTAAGAGACTTGCATTAATATGTTTGCAGAAAAATTAAACCAGAACACCTGACTTCTTTATTTCCCAGGAGTTTTCCTCCACACCTGCCCCCATCAGGGGAGAAAATTGATCAGGAGGTACCACCCCTTTCCACACCATTCTTGAATCTATTCTACAGAACTCTCTCACATGGTCTAGCAATATGTTTAAGGTAGAACCCTTTTTCTATCAATATTTCTTATGTGTTAAATTTGCATTATTATATGTTGACTAGAAATTATATATTCCTTCTTAAACATTAATCATAATGAATCTAAAAACCTAATTTATTTCAACCAATAAATTTCTCTTTAATTCCTGTCCTCAACATTCTTGTCCTCAATATTCCTATTGTTACTGTTACAGTTATGAAATCATCTTAATGAAATCACAGCTAGACCAGTGCATTAATTTAAAACAATAGCATCCTTTTTCTATAATTTAACTTCTTCAAACTTTTCTTCACTGTTGTATAATGATAATTACTCTAAAATGACAATCTGATCATTAAAACTTTAATCATTTACTCTCTGCCAATTTCATAAATAAATATTTGATTCACAGTTGTTATTTCTTCTTCAAGATACATCAAATAATCCACCTTTATGAAAAGCAATTTACTGTTTCATAAATGTGCTTTATTATGTCACATATTCAGTCTTTTAAACATTTTGTGCCATCCTTGGTCATCAAATAAATTTCTATCTACTAAACATGACTGACTTAGCAAAACGATAGCCTTAGTTTCATGCATGTCTCCATCAATTTTGGAATTGCTTTTATGCCCAAACTGCAGTGGGAGAAAAACACACAACAAAATTGTGTTGATTGTTATCTCTTTAAAACCACAACCTTGAAAAGCAAATGTGCCTTTAAGGCGGCCAAACAAGCCCATTTTTCTTTTGTTAGCCATTGCCTTCTTCCTCTTATGTAAGATTAACTTATGGATTCTTTCCTCATTTCACACCCCTCACATACTTTTCTTCAATCTCAATGCCAGCTGATGACCTTGTTTCCTGTGTCAAAAAATAAATACATAGATAGATAAATAACAATCAAGAGGAAATGTATGCAGACTCCCACTACTACATATACTTAACGCCAGTATCTAAAATTACACACTACTCATCCTGCATATTAATAGAGCAGGGTCTTTTCTCTGGTACTATGGACAAACTGAGCCAGATAATTCTATGTTTGGGATGGGGTGTTGGAAAGGTTGCCTTGTATGTTGCAGGATGTTTAGCAACATCCCTGGCCTCTCCAATTCGATGCTAGTAGTAACTCCATTCACAAGTTGTGACAACAGAAAACATCTCCAAACATTGCCAATTGGCTCCTTGCAGAGTGAAATCTCTCCTTAAAGAAAACCACTGCCAGAAATGAAATGTTTATACACCTACCTCAAGCTTACGCCTTTACTTGTTCATCAACTCTTTCTGACTACACAGGCTATAGACAGATACTTTTCAATACTTACCCCTCTTATACATAATCAAATTTTCCTCTTTATTGGGTCATTTCATGATCATACAAATAAGCTATTACTTCTGTCATACTAGAAAATAAAAGCAAATAAGCAACCAGTATTCTTCATTTTCCCCATTTTCATTGTCAGATACCACCAGGGAATTTGATCCCTTTTTCACCAAAACTCTTTAAAAGGATAATTTATAGTCACCGTGTCATTTGCTCCTTGCATTTTCTCTTTAATCATTTCATTTCCATACAGATTTTTGCCCCCCACTACTCTAATTAAACCTGTCCTCCACTTTGTTAATCTTATAGTTATTTTTCTCACCTTACTTGATTTATCAGCAGCATTTGAAGTAGATTATTCTCATAATACTATCTTCATTTGACTCCCTGGTTTTATATTATTTGTATACTTCTCTCTCTCTCTGTCTCCCTCTCTCTCTCTCTCTCTCTTTTAGTGTTTTCTTCTATTCCTCAGACTCAATGTTGGAATGCTCCAGGCCTCAGTATTTTATTTCCCCCCACCATCATCTTTCTCTGTACTTCTTTCCTTGGTTATCTCATCCAATCTCGTGGTTTTACATGCAGTGTAAATGCTAATGACTCCCAAATTTATATTTCCATGCCATATCTCTATCCCAAATTCCACACGCATAAATCCAATTGCATTTTTTACACTTCCACCTGAATGTCGTGATGATAATGGGTCTATTTTTCCTGAGACCCATTCCTCACTCTGCCCAGTTCAGTTCATAAGACAGAGGGGATGAACACTGTGGATTATGTAGCTCAGATTTTCTGAAAGCTGGCTTCCAGTTAGGCTCAAACAATAGGAGACACATGTAGAAAGATGAAAGGCAGGAACAAGGAGAAATCTAGATATTGTCTCATTTTCTCCCTGTCATCCCTAATAACAGTTACATTTTTTACAGGCTCCTGCTCCTTTACATAGGCCCACTGTGGTTCCAGCTTCCCCCAAATATCCCTCCCTGCAGCTCCAGTAGTACAGCCTCCTATCCCTGTTCTCCAAGGGAAGGTGATAGTAGCCTCCCATTGTTGCTAAATTGTAGGTTGCCTCACTGTCCCCTGGTTGGCTTTAATTTTTTTAAAGTTATTTCTACCATCAATTACCTGTATCAATTCCCTTTGTTTTAAATTCTCAATGATTTCAGTTTTCCTGGCTAGTTTCTGATTACTTCAGATACCTAATGGAAATCTCAAAGAAAGTATGACTCAAGAGAAATTGTTGATTTCCATCTCCCAGCTACTACCAAACCTGTTTATGCTTATCCATTTCATTTGATGGCAAGTCCTTCCTCTGGTTGCTTAAACCCAAAGACTTTATAATATGTAGAATCAACTACTTCTCACCATGTCTACTGAGGTGTGAATTACTACTGTTTTCCTCTTGGATAAAGTCAATATCTAAAGAGGGGACTTTTCCTAAAAGTGTCCTCTTACAGTCAGTTACCAACACAATATCCACAGTCATCCTTTTTACATAAAAGAGCGTGTCACTTCTCTTCTTAGGACCTGTAGTGACCCTCTCTTTCATTGATGGTAAAATTCTAAGGCAGTGTGAGTTTTAAAATACCCTGTAAATATGTACAATTATTATGTCATTTAAATATAATATATATTTTTAAAAATTAAAAACGTATATCAAGGCCCAAATTACTTCTGTGTGCTCATCGTTAACTCCCCTTCCTCACTCATCTCCAGCCACACTGGTTTCCTTGAACCCCTTCAAACAAGCCAGATATGGGGCTGTCTTGGGCTTTTGCACCGTCTTTTCCCTCTGCCTGGGTTCCCTTCTTTCAGATATCTACATGTTTAATCCCTCACCACCTTTAAATTTTTGCATAAATGCTATCTTTTCAATGATGTTTTCTATGGCCTCCCTACTTAGCATCTCAACCTGTTTCTTGGACCAGCATTAGAAAATGAATATAGAGAGATGAACACAATATATATGGCCCTGCCCTCATAGTCCTAGCAATCTACAGGGACACAAAATAATATGCAAAAAAGTATTTGAATTATCTTCAGCACCTTTCTAAAGAAAAAAAGCTACTTAAAACTTACACTTAGAAATGCTCAATATGAGTCAATACATTATGTCACCACCTAAAGTAACAAGATGTTAGGCTGCAACTGCTGTATGTTTTGAATGAGACTCATTACACTATGAAGTCACATACTTGTTTAATATTATAATAAGACAGAACTAAATTTAAATCATAGTTATACCAAACACTAGCTACACTGAATCTCTACATCTCAATGTTCTCACCAGCAAAATCAAGCTTATAATAATACTAGCTTCTTCAAGTTATTTAAAAGATAAATGAGCTAAGACATGTAATGCTCATAGCCCATTTAGAAAGGCAAAATATAAGGTGTAGTACATAGAAACCACTGACCATTGGTAATTCTGAAACACTACAGGTCAGACAGTTTGAATGAACCATATACTAAAGGTTGGAAAAGTTATTTGATTAAACTCTGCCTTTTTTTTTTCTGGGAAGAACACATAGATTAATCACTTTGTATAATCCCAACCTCTCCCTTCTTGGGAGTGGGGATAGGGGAAACAGTTTTCATCATCTATGATCTTAAGTTTCCTCATGCTCTTTCTCATTGTTAAGACAATACCACTTATTTTAGCTTATTGTTACAATAGTATTTCATTTTTTTCTAACAACTTGGTATTAGTCAAGATGGGATATAATAACAAATGACTCTTGAAATCTTCATGGGTGCCATGGGAAGTTTCAAGAACACAACTTGAAAGTGAATTGCATGACTTTGTTCTGTGTTTCATTGACCACTACTCATTCAGTGAGCCTGAAAGTAACTGTGTATATCACTGTTAGTATACTATGCATGCCAGATACCCAAGACTCAAACTTTTCCTTTCCTTTAGATACCACCTACTTAGTCATCAATTTTGGTTCAACCTACTCCACTAAATAGCTTTGACTTCCATTCACTTACCACTTTAGATTAGTGCTATAGACTCCTATTTTACCTCCTTCATATCAATCCCCTTAAAACTCCCAATAGCTTCCATTGTTTCAACCAAAAGCTCAAATTCCTTTAATATAAAGTGTTATATGAACTGGCACCCTATATACTCTATATCCTAATCTCTCATCTTTCATTTATTTCTTTAACTCCTGACTCATGTAACAAAAATGTATTTATCTCAGCACGTATGTACTCCCTTGTTATGCTCTCCCAAATGTCCCTGTATTTTTCATTGAATAGCAATTGCCACATTTTATTTTATATGCTTGTGTTACCATTTATATATATATTTACTACAGACTCTGCTTTTAGAAGGCATACACTGGCCAGGCGCAGTGGCTCACACCTGTAATCCCAGCACTTTGGGAGGCTGAGGCTGGCGGATCATGAGGTCAGGAGATCGAGACCATCCTGGCTAACACGGTGTAACTCCATCTCTACTAAAAATACAAAAAATAAGCCGGGCGTGGTGGCGGGCGCCTGTAGTCCCAGCTACTCGGGAGACTGAAGCAGGAGAATGGTGTGAACCCAGGAGGCGGAGCTTGCAGTGAGCCGAGATCGTGCCACTGCACTCTAGCCTGGGCGACAGAGTGAGAATCTGTCTCAAAAAAAAAAAAAAAGAAGGCATACACTGTGATATTTGCAACATCAAACAAACAAACAAACAAACTAAAATTGGAAGAATACCCAAAAATAACTCAAAGGAATAATTTTAATTTCAATTAATTGATTATGGCCTTTATCATTTTAAGATTTTTATATGTCTACTTTTATGAACTCTAGGCTAGTTTTTTCCACTTTTATTTCTACAATCATGGGGCCTATTTTATATTTTCTCTTGCACTTGATTATAGAAGAGATTGAAATGAGTTAGGAAACATGTACTTGAAACCAATAATGGGCACACTTTACAGGATTTCAAAATCTAAAAATATCATAACATAACTTCAGGGAAGAGTAAGAAGTATTGGTGTCATTTTTTTCCTTTTAGTAGATTAGTTGAAGAGGTAAATTGAACATGGACTATATGTCAGACTTTTTTTTCCAAATTATATTCTTAAATATATAGTAAAACATATGCTAGAGACAGTTTTTTAATAACAAACAATATTTGAATTGAGATCCTGAAGAAAAATAAATTAACTGTGTAAAAATGTATTACTAAATATCTGCATTTTCTAGAGATGTATCCTTAAGTATGTAGGTATAAAATTACACTCTGAGATATATTTTTAAAATAATTTGGCAAGAAGAGAACAGGGATACCTTAAGCAGAAACAACAAAATTATGATAATTGTTGAATATGTGTGATGGTTGTATGTTAATGTATTGATTATTTTGTGTGGGTATGAAAACATGATAATAAAATCAAATTACAAAAAAATAAAAAATACCTCTTGCTTTTTTAGCAGCTTATTACATTGTTTATAACAGTGTCTACAGCGCTATGATTGGTCAGAGCCAGAGACTATAACATTTAATAAAACGAGTCCTCTAGAAGCTCATGGGAGTTCATTTACGGCAGCAAAGACCTATATTAAATGGACTGAATATTTAAGGAGTAATTATGTTGAGTAATGTGTTTATTTATAGTTTTAATTATACATTATCTTTTTTGGTTATCTTTAAAATATATTAAGCTTATGCAAATAGGATATGCATCATAACCCAGGATCTATTATCTGAATTGCTTATATACTTATAATAACATAACTTTAAAAGAAAGAATCAAACCATATTGCTAGCTTACAGGTTGGATCTTTCTAGACAATAGTTATTTACCTGAATGTTTATTTTTGTTTTGCATCTTCATCAGTTAAAACCAACAGTTACAATACAAATGAAAGTTAAAAAATAATAATATTATTAATGTGAAATTTCAATGTGCTTAGCAATAAATAATGGGAATAAGAATTATCCAGGATGTACTAAATGCTACAAGAATTATATAAGTCTAATGAACATGATGCTTTTGAACTTAAGTAAATTCTATGTGCTTAACTATTTTTATTGTTTATAGATTTAGGACTTCTGAATGCATTCTTTTTTGCTGTTATGGGATATTATGAATTCACCTTAGTAGACTTTTGCTTACAGGACATAAAATTAATTTATTCTATGAATTTTTTCTTCTTTTCCTAAAAATGTGTAAGTTCTGTGATTTCTTGGACTAAAAGATATCTATTTACATAGTGAAAGGCCAGGCCTTGTAAAGATCGTGACAGTATTCAATCCTATTCTCGTTTTTTTGTTTCAATGTGTTGCTAGTTATCTTATCTCAGTGTATTGTATTTATATAACTGCATATTTGATTAAGATACCTAACCTATGAGACATATTAACATAATGAACACATGTAAGCACACAACCCAATTTAAGCATAAGAACAGTATCAATAATTTTGCAGTTATCTTTCACTCTTTTTCAGTCACACAGAGACAACTATACTCTTAATTTTGTGTTTAGAGTCCTCTATTTTCTTAATAGACAGATTGCACATGGTTAAAGGTCTATGTTTACATCAAGAGAGCCTGTGTCTGGATCTTGTTCACCCCGCTTATGTCTCTTTTGAAGTTATGCTTAAGCTTTATCCCTTGTTCCTTTATGGAAATTTGAGTATTTTAGGAAAAGTAAAAAAAAAAAAAAAAAAGAAACTTTAAAGTAGAATGATAAAATCTAGTGTTTTTAGATACAGAAGTGAGAAGCTGAATACGGGTAAAGCATGATGGACTATGGGAAGAACGGAATTTCTTGTGTGTGACTGCTCATTCAATAAGCTATATTTTTTAAAGACCTGAACAGGTTATAGCTATTGGTTATCTACAAGTGGAATTCTCAAACACGAAAATGAAAGCCTGACAAATAAGATGCTAATGCCATTTTCACTTAAAAAATAGAACAAGCGAAAGAGAGAAATAAAAGCACTAGCCCAGTAAGAACATCTTCTATTTGCCTTACTCATAAGCCATTTCAGGGCCATAGCTGCAAAACTAGGAAGAAACTGCTAAGTGCTAAAACATTTTAACCAATCACTTTAAGAAAGGCAGAGGAAGCAAATCACTCTAGTAGATAAAACAGGAGAGACTGAAGTTGCTATAGTTGTAATCTTTTTAAAAATAATCTATTTGTTTTGAAGAAAACCCCAATAGGAAGGTGTTTTCATTTTTAAAGGTATCTCTCTTCAGATACTATTTAATACTCAATGTGCTAATAATGTCAAAAATTGTTAAATGCGTATATATCTGTATTTCAAATAGGATAGTTTATCAAGTCAGGTTTTCCAAGAAGCTGATACTATGCAATTATAAGTCACTCAAAAGGTTATGAGAGGAACGTTAGTTAAAGATTAAGAAGAAAAAGCAGATCTAAGTGCAGGGAGTCTTCAGTGATGCAAGCCTGGCTTCTGTCAAAGGAGGGGAAGAAGGATGAGAATGAAAGAGTCACAGCCTGAAACACAGTTTAGGAAGTTTTGGCCCGGACAATAGGAGTCTCCAGTCCAAAGTCTTCTGTTGGAAGGTTATCACAAATCTTAAAAATGGCCTTCATCAATACTCCGAGCATGCTCAGTCATTGGCCAGGAACAGCCAGAGAAAATATGGTCTGAGTGCAAAGATAGTCATACAACCAGAAAAACAGTAGCTGGGGCTGCCTGTCATCCATGCTCACTGAAGCAAGAGTTGTGAGTGGTGACCACATATATCAAATATTTCTATGAAAAAAACAAAACAAAACAAAACCCAATCAAGTGAAACTCCAAAATGATAACCTTTAATGCTTATTAGGTGGCACAAGTGTTAGGTTGGGTATTTTACTAAATATTTAATCATTATATATGCACATATTTATGGGCATGTGAGCTTAATTTCTGTTTTTAAATTCAGAATGCTTCAATAATAACATTGCATTTTATATAATCCTGATTTTCTTTTTTAAAATCAGCTCAAAAGGAGAAGTTAAATATTCAGCTTTAATTTCACCAGTAGATTTTTAATGTTTTGTAATCATAATGTTTAATTTGTGCTGTTCTTAGAACTTTAATTATGAAGCTAAATTGTACTAATACCCATTAGGTACTTCTTAATTGAAGGCACATCATATGTCTGATGTGGCAGTACTAATTGGTGTAATTAAATTCTAATATGCTTCAGTAGCCTGATTTTTTTAAGGGAATAAAAAGCTGATAGAAATAAGTCAGCTCTTGAAGCTGCATAGTTGTATAATACATACACGTGTTTGCATTTGTAACATGCACATTTATTCAGAAGAAACAACTCATTAATTTATTCCAAAACCATTTCACCTGATAACTTAAAATACAGAGTAAAACAAATTGGTCAGGTAAATATACATGTAACTTAAAAAGAAACAGTCATGTACTTTAGGCATAAGGACAATGCTTTTCTCTTTTACAAATTCTAAGTTAGGTCAAATTCTCTGAAAGTCACTACCTTTCTTTACTGTGATGTGTTTTCGGTGAAGTTACAGCCTATTTGCAAATCACATCACTGGTTTGTCCAAGCAGAGGTAGATGAGAGGTAAGCTCCTGTCCTGCTAAAAGTCTCCTAAAAACAGCAAGAAAATATTTTTACATGTTCAAAAATGCTCATTTATTTATATTCCTAAATTTTCTTTTACTCAGTATAATATAGATAATTTAAAAATAAGTAGAATATTTTTATTATATATGTTTTATTTTTATACATCTAGTTAAATTAATAGTGGAACATTATATATCTGTTAAATGTTTTAAATTACATGGAATTAAAATATCAAAGTTAATTATGTTATTATAATTTTTAAATTTCAGAAACCTTCTTTAAAATTCTTACTGTTTTATCTTAAAAAATTCATATAGAAATTGTGGTCAGATGTAAACTGTGACTCTGAGCACAAATCCCAATGCTATTGCCAATTAAATTCCAATTTTTGTGTTCACACATGAAATGTAGTTTTTCTTTTATTGAGTTTTAAAAATCTGTAAGATTTACCTATCTGAATATACACTCAGGTCTAGCTTCATGTTCCTGTGACCTCTGTGGTCACACAAGGACCCATGTACATAATGACCTCATACTTGGCCTAATGCTCTGCTGTTGCCATCTTGAAACGCTTAACACTTTGAACGAGGTACAACATCCACTTCATTTTGCACTGGGCCCTGCAAATCACGTAGACAGTCATATATGAGTCCAGTATTTTCCTACCACCAGACATTTTGATGTACTGAAGAGATAAAAAAAAAAACCTAATAATTAGAAGTTTTAAAAGAATTTTTTTTTTTTTTTTGGAAGACTAGAGTTTTATTACTGAAATCAGTCTCCCCCAAAATTTAGAGACTGCATTTTTTTATTTTTTTTTAATTTTTTTATTGATAATTCTTGGGTGTTTCTCACAGAGGGGGATTTGGCAGGGTCATGGGACAATAGTGGAGGGAAGGTCAGCAGATAAACAAGCGCCTCTGCCCGGCCGCCCCTACTGGGAAGTGAGGAGCCCCTCTGCCCGGCCAGCCGCCCCGTCCGGGAGGGAGGTGGGGGTGTCAGCCCCCCGCCCGGCCAGCCGCCCCGTCCGGGAGGGAGGTGGGGGGGGTCAGCACCCCCGCCCGGCCAGCCGCCCCGTCCGGGAGGTGAGGGGCGCCTCTGCCCGGCCGCCCCTACTGGGAAGTGAGGAGCCCCTCTGCCCGGCCACCACCCGGTCTGGGAGGTGTGCCCAACAGCTCATTGAGAACGGGCCAGGATGACAATGGCGGCTTTGTGGAATAGAAAGGCGGGAAAGGTGGGGAAAAGATTGAGAAATCGGATGGTTGCCGTGTCTGTGTAGAAAGAAGTAGACATGGGAGACTTTTCATTTTGTTCTGCACTAAGAAAAATTCCTCTGCCTTGGGATCCTGTTGATCTGTGACCTTACCCCCAACCCTGTGCTCTCTGAAACATGTGCTGTGTCCACTCAGGGTTAAATGGATTAAGGGCGGTGCAAGATGTGCTTTGTTAAACAGATGCTTGAAGGCAGCATGCTCGTTAAGAGTCATCACCAATCCCTAATCTCAAGTAATCAGGGACACAAACACTGCGGAAGGCCGCAGGGTCCTCTGCCTAGGAAAACCAGAGACCTTAAAAGAATATTTTTAAGAGTTGTTGTTTGTTTGTTTGTTTTTTAATCCTAGATGTCTCAAGCTTGCCTTCCATTAGATAATGCAGTAAGGAACCCCCAGTTTACAACACAGGGCAGGCAGGAAGACAACCAACTCAATGGGATCTCTGTCCTGTGTAGTCATCACCAGCTGATCCTTCTTTTTCTCCGCTAAGGTGGTGACAGCGTTAACCCCCATTAAAAGGACAGGTGATCTCTCAGTGGGGATGTCTCCTTTGCTTTCTTCTCAGCCCAGGCCAACAGTCTCTGCTGCTTCTCTTGCTTTGTCTCTGGTCTGTACTTGCCAGCCAGCTTACCCCATTGAGCAGCTGTTTGGTGGTCCAAGGCCCTGGTGAACTGACTAATCACAGAAGGCACTTCTAGCTGCTTATAGAGGATGGCTCTCTGCTGCTGCAACCTAGTATAATGGGGCCATTTGACAAAGCAAGTGAGGTCCCTTTTGGGCTGGATGTTCTGTCCAATGCCAAAATGTCCTGTCCAGTGCCAAATTTCTCAAATGGAAGATTCACCACTTTCATGGTCTCCTGCTTTTTCAAGACCGCAAGGGTCAGCACCACCTTCTTCCCTTTGGCCTTCTTTCTTTTTCGCACCTTGGGTAGCTGGAGAACAGAATAATAAGATCTTGAGAGAAAAATAAGTTGAAGCCAGAGGTAAAACTGAATATTGGTAATATCTTTTTGTTTTAGGGTTGCTTTCCATTTTAGAAAGTAATTCAGAGTGTTATTTTTTAAAAATCATATATCAGAGTTCTCTAATAAATTTCAAACTTAAAAGAACATTTAACTTCATAAGAGAAGAGAAATGTTTCATGAACATATTTTAAAGATAGGGAAACTAGAATACAATTTGGAGTAAAACTAATATTTTAAGTAACCTGGAGATAGGACTCATATCTTTTAATAGAACATGCATTCTAACAAGCCAGTGATTTTTCAAAGTTTTCTAAAACACTTTTCTCAAACCACATTTAACCTAGAAGTAGAAACAAATAAAAGACACAAAATTAGAGTTAATTTTATTGTAACTGGGTTGGCTCCAGAGATTATAGTTAGGAAGTGATTACATTAAGCTCTACATATGCAGCATTCTAGCAAATTTCAATGCAGTAGACAAAATCTATAAATAATGTGAAACACATATTAACATGTTAAGCATAATATGCATTCATTGTCTTCAACAGAATAGTTCTCTATTAATTTTTTAAATGTAATACAATTTTACTTTAAAAACACTGAAAAATCAACATATTTCATTAAGAAAAAATTATAAATGTTGCAAAATGATGATGAAAATATGTATAGTAATAATTCCCAACTATAACAATTTTGTTTTATCTAATACTGGTCAGCTTTCCATGTGTCCAAGCATTACAGGACTTTTCATTAAGCCTAATCCTCACAAGAACATTGCTTTGAGCGATGTTCCAGAGTGGTAGTCCTTTAAGGCATTAGAACGATTTGTGAAATCCCTAAAAATACTAGGGGAAATATTCAAAAAATGACAATAGTGCCATTATTCCTCCTCCTCAAAGAGACTATCAGAACTAAAACTCTTTGCTTCATGTTCCTGTTTACTTCTGTCACTTTCAAGTCACAGAGGTATTATCAGACTGTCATCATTGTATGACTCTGCTTTTCCAACAGAATCAATTACCTATCCCTTATCTCACAACTTGATAGTGATAGATATTGAATGCTTATGTTCTGATTAGCAAACTCTTTTTGCATTTTTAATAACAACTTGAACTCCTGATATGTCTGGAAAATATAACCCCTTCAACAGCCCTTTCAATGGGTTGCTACTATTTTGCTCACCCCATCTTCACCTGCCTAATCATGAGGAGGCGGGGTATATACAATTTCAGTTAATTTGTAGTTATCAGTCTATTATAGTTCTTTCCTTCTGAAAACCAACAAGTAAATAAACCAGCAAGCATCACCAATAAACTTTGACAGTTTATGGTTCATAACGTACGTCTACACCAAACTTTCCATTCAAATGCTTTTTCAAACCTTTGTTTGGTTTCTTTCTCTATTAAGACAACTTTTGCTTTTGGCTTTCAAAGACATTCTCTCCATTATAAACTCTGTCGTTATTCTCTATTGTGCTTACCTCAAACTGGTAACTCTTTCAAATCTTACCTGTCAGTTTCTTGACCACCATGCATGTTAATAACATTTCTTCTCTATTTTAGACAGCAAATGTTTCTCAATATTAAAAAAAAAAAAAAATCCTACTCTTTGGTCCTCTCTACCTCCCATTTCATCCAATATCGCTTGTTCAAGACCTGAACTCGTACAGGTTTTTAACCTGTTGAAGACTGTCACTCTATGGACTCTACTCTCTTCTCTCTCCTCCATAGCCTTCTCATTGCCTATCTTCCCTACTTGTCCAGGAAATGATGACATGTTTCATCACTATAATTAATCCATTTCAAATGGCCTTTATGCCAAATGATTTTATTATATACTCTTTCTGTGCCATGCCTTGTTTTCCAAATTTACCACAGTACAAATTTTACAATTAGTTTTCCATTACTGAATTAGTACCAATCTCTGTCTTAAAAAATAAATACAGTAAAAAATGATAATGAATTTATTTCTTCTTATAATACTATCACTGGTGCATGGTTAGAATAAATTAATCTTAGGATGATATAAGCATTTCTCCAAATGGTCTTCAAATTCATTGATTTTTTTGTGATTTCAATTTCCATATTTATTGTTCCTGTTGCAATTTTTTCAGATTTTATATGTATTAACTCAGAACACATACCTCTTATCACACATATTTTTTCATGTAATTTATCTAAATCTTATAGAAAAGGGTACATTTGCATTTTCTCTTATTAGACTCCTGATTTCAAATAATATATTACTTATGAGTATTTTTCTGTGCTGTAGTTATTCATTCTCATAGATATGTAACATAATTCCTTTTGCAAAGGTAAAAATTGAGCTATCTCTTGTTGAGGATTTGTTGATCTCTGTCTAAAGTTTCAAAAATAAGAACTTTAAAAGCAAAATGTAAATTCCTTTCAAGTTTTAGTAAAATTACTTCAAACTTAGTAGCTTAAACAATACAGATTTATTATGTTACAGTTCTGTAAGACAGAAATCTGACTTGATCACACCATGGTAAAACCAAGATACTGCCAGGGTTGGTTTTTTCTTGGGGGGGGGTCTGTGGGAAGAGTTTGTTTCCTTTGGTTTTCCACAGCCCAGAGGCTGCTTGCTCCTTTGATCACTGTCCCTTCCTCCATTTTTAAAATGAGGAATGGAGTCAGGGTGACTATGGTTAGCAATATTGTATTGTATATTTCAAAATAGCTAGAAGAGAGGATTTTTGAATTCTCTCACCGTAAAGATATCAAAGATGTATGAAGTGAAGAATATGTTGAATATCCTGATTCAATATTTAAACTATACATACACGTGTTGAAACATCACACTGTATCCCATAAATATGTACAATAATTATGTGTCATAAAACAAGATTTAAATTGTTTTAAAGGGCCAGCAATGGCAGTTTGTGAGTTCCCATCTCATCACTCTAACTTCTTCTGCCTCCTTCCACTTGTAAATGTCCTTCTGATTATTTTGGTCCCATCAGGATAATCCAGAATAACTTTCCTATCTTAATATCAACTGACGAACAACCTTAGTTTAGTCTACAATTTCAATTTTCCTTTGCCATGCAACTAACATATTCACAAATTCTGGGGACTAGAATGTGGACACCCGTTGTATTAGTTTGTCCTCACACTGCTAATAAAGACACAGCTGAGACTGGGTAATTTATAAAAGAAAGAGGTTTAACTGACTTATAGTTCCACATGGCTGGTGAGCCCTCAAAATCATGGTGGAAAGCGAATGAGAAGCAATGTTGCATCCCACGTGGTGGCAGGCAAGAGAGCTTGTGCAGGAGAACTCCCGTTTATAAACCCAGCAGATCTCGTGAAACTTATTTACTACCACAAGAACAGCATGGGATAAACCTTCCCCATGATTAAATTCTCTCTACCTGACCCCATTCTTCACATGGAATTATTACAATTCAAGGTGAGATTTGGGTGGGGATACAGCCAAATCACATCATTTGTGGAGAGCTGTGATTCTGCCTACCACAAGTAAGATGTACAAAGCATGGAAGGAGCTACAGCCAGAAACAATTATACCATTGGGAATTTCTAGCAGAATAAATAGCAGTTATTAACTGATAAGTTAATAGATTAAGTAAACCTAAATAATTGCCTTCATTAGCAGCGAGGCTTTTGATGGTCCATGTATCACAGATATTTAAACACAAATACATTTTTCTCATTTATTCCAATAACAAAGTGTTTTTTGGTTTGTTTTGTTTTGTTTTTGAAAGTTTGGTATGAGAGAGAAAGAGATGAGCTGATTTGACTACTCCAGGCTAGAGGATATGTAGCTGAGAGTCTATGGCTGAGTGGAGGAAAAAAAAAAATCACAAGCCCTGTCCAGGATAACAGAGAGAGAAAGCTGTTTCTGTTGAGATTTGATGGCCCCCATCACACCAAATTTGGGCTTCTAGCTAGCCTCAGTTCTTCAGATAACTGACCTTCCTTCTTTCCTCCCTCTTGTAATAGTCTTTGTGTATTAGAAGTACCTTGAAATGCTGGGTCAGAAAATGTGGCACGAAAGAGAAAAGCTGGCTCACTCCACATCTTGACCTGATCATTTCCTGAACATGATTGAGGTGGATGACTCTTTGCTCCTCTTTGGCTGACCTGCAGGAATAACATTGGGAATAAGCAAATCTCCTTTGGACTCCAGAGGGTGGTGGTCAGGAAGTGGGCCATTGAGAACCTAGGTGGAAATGCAGGCCAGATTATTGGAGTAGTTTGCTTTATAATGTTAAAATATTTATACACATGTTATGTGGGCCTCTATTTCCACTCTTATCTTAGAGCCCACACGTATTATGGAGGGTCTAGCAGTGTTTGTGGAGTTTTTGGTACTATACCTTTTTCAAGATAAAGTAAAAAACATTTATGGATAATTTAATTGTTCCCTATGTAGATTCCAGTGCCAAATTCCTCTCTTAGACACTGTTTCTAGTATAACATGTTAATATGTGACCCCTGTTTCACTTACAGATTTTTAGAGATCTATCCCAGGTTACTTAATTCAACTCCAAGACATACTTTTCTTTTAAATGCAGGGAATAAAGGGTCAGTTACTTAGTTACTCCGGTTTTATTTAATCCTACTGTCATCTGACAATATGGTACTGATACTATTTCCTATTTCTAGATGGTTGCTAGAAATATACTGTAATATTTATTCTTGATATATGTTTGTTACTTTAACGGGAATACATAGGCTATAAATAGTCCCCTTGCCTCTCACAAGTTAGACAGTCCTGCCCAGAATGCCCTGCTGAAGAGTTGTAGCAGATCACCCTGTTCCTCCTTAACCTCTCTGTTCCGCATATGCTCACCTGTAAAATAGTGATCATAGTAACACCCATCTTGTGATGATGTAGAGAGGTTTAAAGAAGCAAATTAGGGGAGGCCAGGCATGGTGGCTTATGCCTGTAATTCCAGCACTTTGGGAGTCCAATCACTTGAAATCAGGAGTTCGAGACCAGCCTGGCCAACATGGTGAAACCCACTTCTACTAAAGCAAACAAACAAACAAACAAAAAACACAAAAATTAACTGGGCATTGTGGCAGTTGCTTCTAATCCCAGCTACTTGGTTGGCTGAGGCAGGAGAATCCGCTGGACCCAGGAGGCGGAGGTTGCAGTGAGCCGAGGTCACACCACTGCACTCCAGCTTGGGTAACAGAGCAAGGTTTTGTCTCAAAAAAAAAAAAAAAAAAGAAAGAAACCAATTAGGGTGGAAACACTTAGAGCAGGGTGTTCATAAGTTGTCACCCTCTTGAAGCAATTGTTGGACACTATTTTAAAAATGTTTTACTTCTGAGTGAAATGTTGCATTTTATTTTACTGGAAGATTCTTATGTAGTTTAAGTACATTTTACGGTATTGTCAAAGAGCATGAGCAAAATATTTAGGAAAGATGAGACCATATTTCTTTTATTTATGACATTGCCACAAAAAATCAGGTAGATGAATTTGTATTAAGTTTTTGTACCAATTTCATATCTAAAATTTCAAAGAATTTTATTGCAACAAACTCTTTCTTACCATTAACTCAAAAAAATTCTGTTTTAAATTGACTTCATTCCATAAGTCTCTACACTACTAATTTGGCCAGAAGTTATTTTCAATCCTAATTGGGAACAACAAAGATCCACATGATATCCTTTCAATTTATGATGTTGAAGAAAGTTGAATTGTAATAATTTGAGTGTGCAGTCAAAGCAATTTTCAATACTATGTATCACTGTAGAAACAAGGGAGAATGTCTTGGTTAACTATTTAAGTGGCTTGAGTATGGCAATTAAAATTTCATCTAAGCTCATTTTGATGAATCTTGAAGGTGACATTTATTTCTTATGCTCTGAACATCGTAAGTTCTGTTGATTTTTATGGGAAGTTTTCAAGGTCATTTTCAGAGATCTATGACAAAATGACATTATTTGAGAAAAAAAAGAAGAAATAGCTCGAAGTTTAAAGCATTATGGTATTCCCTAAGCCCAAAATTTTCTCCCTTTACAAAAACAAATGAAAGGCAAAATAGACAAACAAAGAAACCATCAAAAATACCTTGAATCACTGTTGGTGGGAATGAAAATTAGTTCGACCATTGTGGAAGACAGTGTGGAGATTCCTCATGGATCTAGAATCAGAAATCCCATGACCCAGTAGTCACATTACTTGGTATATACCCAAAGGAATATAAATCATTCTATTATGAAGACACATGCACACATATGTTTATTGCAGCAGCTATACTACTTATTATAGCAAAGACATGGAACCAACCCAAATGCCCATCAGTGATAGACTAGATAAAGAAAATGTGGTACATATACACCATGGAATACTATGCAGCCATCTAAAGAACTAGATCATATCCTTTGTAGGAACATGGAAACCACCATCCTCATCAAACTAACACAGGAACAGAAACCCAAACACCTCATGTTCTCACTCATAAGTGAGAGTTGATCAACGAGAACACATTGACACAGGGAGGGGAACAACACACAGTGGGGCCTGTTGGGGCGTGGGGGGAAAGGGGAGGGAGAGCATCAGGACTGATATCTAATGCATGCAGCTTAAAACCTAGATGATGGTTTGATAGGGGCAGCAAACCACCATGGCACATGTATACCTATGTAACAAACCTGCAAATTCTGCATATGTATCCCAGAAATTAAAGTAAAATAAAATAAAATAATAAAAACAACAACAAAATGTACCTTGAATCTCCAAAATAAGTTAAGACAAATAGTTAAAATTGAGCATGCTTTTATTAGAAGAAGAAAATGTCATTGACAATATAACAGATAATTTATAGATGGGAACATACGTAAAAACGTATAAGTACTTAGATCTGCTAGATAAAGTGAGTCCCAAATGATAAGGTTACAAAAATAATGTTTTTTTGTAGAATATGTGTTTTCAATGAGAAAGTGTTGCAAAAGTCAGTCATACAGATTGGTAACTTTTATGTTTATTTTTCAAAAGCAGCTCAAAATAGTTCTTTAGATTCTGTAACACCACGGTGTCCTAATTTTGCTCCTAAAATTTTGTCACAAAAGTTTAAATTCACTTGCAAATTGATCTTCATTTAATCTTCCTCTAGGTGTGTAAGCTAAATCAGAGATCTGCATGAACTGCTTATTACTCTTTCATGCTATACATTCTCCCTAGGTAATTTTGATCACTGCAATCTTTTCCATCATCATTTCTACTTGAAGACTAACTAATATAGGTAGAACAAATTTCAACTTCTAGACCTATATGCTTTCCAGATATCTCAAATAAAAGATAAAATTTGGGGAGATATACCATGTTCATGATTTTGAAATAGTCAAGACTGTGTGATATTGTCCTCAAGAAAGACTAAATAGATCAACAGAACAGAATAGAAAATACAAAAACAGATTTATACATATAGTTAAAATCTTTTTTTTTAAATAGCAAGTCAATTCATCAGGGAAAGTATCAGCTTTGAAGAAATGGAAGAGTTTTCAAAGCAAGAAATGTAAAACAGTTGGGTATTTATAAGCAATAGAAAAACAAATTTGATTCATAGCTTGCAAAATATATAAACATTAATAAAAAGCCAACCTGAATGTATTGAAATCTTAGATATAAACATAAGATAAATCTTTGTGACCTTAGTTGAAACAAATAAGTGCTGTATATGACATTAAACATTTAATATGTAAAATAAAATATTAACTTGAACTTCTTCAAAAGTGAAAATTTTTACTCTTTTTAAAAAATTATTATACTTTAAGTTCAGAATGTGCAGAATGTGTAGGTTTGTTACATAGGTATATACATGCCATGGTGGTTTGCTGCACCCTTCAACCCATCATCTATTTTAGGTATTTCTCCTAATGCTATCCCTCCCCAAGCCCCCCACCCCCTGACAGGCCCCAGTGTGTGATGTTCCCTTCCCTGTGTCCATGTGTTCTAATTTTTCAGCTCCCAATTATGAGTGAGAACATGCGGTGTTTGGTTTTCTGTTCCTGTGTTAGTTTGCTGAGAATGATCGTTTCCAGCTTTATCCATGTCCCTGCAAAGGACATGAACTCATCCTTTTTTATGGCTGCATAGTGTTCCATAGTGTATATGTGCCACATTTGCTTTATCCAGTCTATGATTGATGGGCATTTGTGTTGGTTCCAAGTCTTTGCTATTGTGAACAGTGCTGCAATAAACCTACGTGTGCATGTGTCTTTATACTAGAATGATTCATAATCCTTTTTCTATTTAGTAATGGGATTGCTGGGTCAAACGGTATTTCTAGTTCTAGATCCTTGAAGAATCACCACACTGTCTTCCACAATGGTTGAACTAATTTACACTTTCACCAACAGTGTAAAAGTGTTCCTATTTCTCCACATCCTCTCCAGCATCTGTTGTTTTCTGACTTTTTAATGATCACCATTCTAACCAGAGTGAGATGGTATCTCATTGTGGTTTTGATTTGCATTTCCCTAATGACGAATGATGATGAGCTTTTTTTTCACATGTTTTTTGGCCGCATAAATGTCTTCTTTTGAGAAGTGTCTGTTCATATCCTTTGACCACTTTTCGATGGGGTTGTTTGTATTTTTTCTTGCAAATTTGTTTAAGTTCTTTGTAGATTCTGGATATTAGCCCTTTGTCAGATGGATAGATTGCAAAAATTTTCTCCCATTCTGTAGGTTGCCTGTTCACTCTGATGATAGTTTATTTTGCTGTGCAGAAGCTCTTTAATTTAATTAGATCCCATTCATCAATTTTGGCTTTTGTTGCCAATGCATTTGATGTTGTAGTCATGAAGTTTTTGTCCATGCCTATGTCCTGAATGGTATTGCCTAGGTGTTCTGCTAAGGTTTTTATAGTTTTAGGTCTTATGTTTAAGGCTTCAATCCATCTTGGGTGAATTTTTGTATAAGATGTAAGGAAGGGATCCAGTTTCAGTTTTCCACTACCCAGTTTTCCCAATACCATTTATTAAATAGGGAATCCTTTCCCCATTGCTTGTTTTTGTCAGGTTTGTCAAAGATCAGATGGCTGTAGATGTGTGGCTTTATTTCTTAGGCCTCTGTTCTGTTCTGTTGGTCTACATAACTGTTTTGGTACCAGTACCATGCTGTTTTGGTTACTGTAGCCTTGCAGTATATTTTAAAGTCAGGTCGCATGATACTTCCAGCTTTGTTCTTTTTGCTTAGGATTGTCTTGGCTATACAACCTCTTTTTTGGTTTTGTATGAAATTTAAAGTAGGTTTTTCTAATTCTGTGAAGAAAGTCAATGGTAGTTTGATGGGGATAGCATTGAATTTATAAATTACTTCAGCAGTATGGACATTTTCATATTGATTCTTCCTATCCATGAGCATGGAATAGTTTGCCATTTGTTTGTGTCCTCTCCTATTTCCTTGAACAGTGGTTTGTAGTTCTCCTTGAGGAGATCCTTCACATCCCTTGTAAGTTGTTTTCCTAGGTATTTTATTCTCTTTGTAGCAATTGTGAATAGGAGTTCACTCATGATTTGGCTCTCTGTTTGTCTGTTGTTGTTGTATAGGAATGCTTGTTATTTTTGCACATTGATTTTGAATCCTGAGATTTTGCTGAAGTTGCTTATCAGCTTAAGGAGATAAGCTGAGACGATGGGGTTTTCTAAATATACAATCTTGTCATCTGCAAACAGAGACAATTTGACTTCCTCTCTTCCTGTTTGAATACGCTTTATTGCTTTCTCTTGCCTGATTGCCTTGGCTAGAACTTTCAATACTATGCTTAATAGGAATGGAAAAGGGCATTTAAAAATAATTTTTTAAAAACTATGAACTGAGAAAACATTTGAATAGCATATATCTTATTGGCCAAGAAAGGTTTATCTCATCAGGACTAATGTTTGTCTTTAGAACTGGCACTTGGCTGGCTTTTGGAAGATAACCTGTGGGCCCTTAATATATTCTGCCTGTTGACAGTGTTTCTATACATCTTTGGCTTTAGAGTACAGTGCACAAGTGGTTTTCAGCGTCTGAGGCCTTGGACCATGCTGTGCTCATTTGAACAGATAAGCTTATCCTAACAATATAATTTAGAGTCAATGGCTATATTTTCTCTGACAGATGCTGTAGTCTGAGTAGCTGAAATCACTCATATAGGCACCACCTTACATGACTGATGCCCAGTAAAAGCCCTGGAGACCAAAACTTAAATGAGCTTCTCTGATTGACAACACTTCAATATGCTGTCAAATATTGTTGCTGGGAGAATTACGTGTGTTCTTATGGGATTCCACTGGGAGAGGACACCTGAAAGCTTGTACCTGATATCTTCTACATTTCTCCCCATGGGCTTTTTTTCTTTGTTGATTTTAATCTGTATCTTTTCATTGTAGTAAACTGTAACTATGAATGTAATGTGTTTTCTAAGACCTGTGAATCATTATAGTTAATCTTTGAGCCTAAGGGTGGTCATAAGGAGCCCCAACACACTAATAAATTACTTTCATAAAGAATATATAAAAGCTGTCAAAAATCAAAAATAAAACAAATCACCCAATTTTTTAAAAGGCAAAAGATTGAAAAAGACGTCATGATAGAAGACATGGATGACAAATAAGTATATCAAAAAATTTTAACATCTGTAGTCATTAAAGAATTGAAAACCACAAAGAAATACTACTGATAGTTATTACAATGTCCAAAGTGAAAAAAAATATTGACCCTACCAGGTATATGCAACAAAATGGAGGAACTGAAACGTTAATATACTTTTGATTGACAACCACTTTGTAAAATAGATAGATTGACAGCTTCTTAAAAAAGTAAACCTATGCTTACCACTTAATCTAGTCATTTATCTTCTAGATATTTCCCCCTCGAAAAATGAAAAAGAAATTGTTGTATATAAATATTCATAGGCATTTTCTCTTTAATAGCTAAAATGTGGTCATGACCCACATATTCATTAACAAGTAATTGGTGATATATACGTACAGCAAAATTCTGCTCAGCAATGAAAAGGTTCGACTACTGACACATGCAACAACATGAATGAATTTCAAAAGAATTTTGCTGTAAAGCAAAAATGCCAGCCAAAAAATAGTGCACCTTATATGATTCCATTTATATAAAACTTCTGGATGCACCAATATACAATATACAGTAATATACAATACTGAAAGATGGTCAGCAGTTGTCTAGCTAAGATGCTTATTAGGAGAGACAATAATTGCAAAAGGGGATTATTAAAAGTAGTCATGAGGAAACATTTTGTGGATTTATATGTTCACTATCTTGACAATAATGATGATCTCACGGATGTATAAATATGTCAGAGCATATCTAATAATTTATCTTACATATTTTTGGCTTTTAATATGTTAATTATAGCTCAATAAATTTCTTAAAAACTCATTGGACTCTATCTGTAATGTGTGTATGTTTAGTTTTAAGTAGAGTGCAGCTAAATTTTTCTCCACCATTACAATTTTCAAACATACTTTCACTTACAGAATAGCATACTGAAAATTAACACATGCTTTTATAATTATAAATAAAATAGTAATATATCATTTCTGCTGAAATAAATGCAAACCAATTACAAGGAATTTATTAGTTTTTATTTTAGTTACTTCATATATATTAGCATCTAAGCCTCAAAGATTCACTATGTAATTGTGTAAATTAGTAGTAGGGTTACCTGAATCTGGCTTAATAGTGAATTAATCAGTATTTATCTTTAAACATTTTTTCCTTTATGAATTGTGTCACACTTTTAAAGAGCCCTTCCTACATTACAAGCATGTATAAAATATATTCTTATACTATTTTAGAATAATTTCAGAAGTTAGATTGTTTTCTAGATTTAGTGTTTTCATTGATACCAAATTTATTTTTATGTACATAAATGTATGATTTTAAGTTAGATTATTTCAAACTGGTATCCCTGCAATTATCTGAACAAAAATTTTTTTTTTTTTTTTTTTTTTTTTTTTGAGACGGAGTCTCGCTCTGTCGCCCAGGCCAGACTGCGGACTGCAGTGGCGCAATCTCGGCTCACTGCAAGCTCCGCTTCCCAGGTTCACGCCATTCTCCTGCCTCAGCCTCCCGAGTAGCTGGGACTACAGGCGCCCGCCACTGCGCCCGGCTAATTTTTTGTATATTTAGTAGAGACGGGGTTTCACCTTGTTAGCCAGGATGGTCTCGATCTCCTGACCTCATGATCCACCCGCCTCGGCCTCCCAAAGTGCTGGGATTACAGGCGTGAGCGACCGCGCCCGGCCCAACAAAATTTTTAAGTAGTCACATTGACTTTTTTTTCAAAAGTTAGTTTTAAGCTATTTGATAACATATGGATCTACTTCACTAAAGTTGTATTTTTGTGTGTAATTCTTTAATCCATCTGGAGATATTTTGGTTGTTTTTCGATCAGATAGCCAGTTAAACCAGAAAGAAAAATCTTACCAAAAAGTTTCCACTTAGAAAATTTAATAGCCAAAAAAACTAATATATGCAAGAATGAACAAAAACATATTGATAAAAGT
Organism: Homo sapiens; assembly: GCF_000001405.40. Classification (NCBI taxonomy): domain Eukaryota; kingdom Metazoa; phylum Chordata; class Mammalia; order Primates; family Hominidae; genus Homo; species Homo sapiens. The sequence continues at coordinate 39,996,970 of NC_000009.12, forward strand.
TATACATCATATTTTTATTGAAATATTTCATAATGAAATGTTTCACATGGTTAAAGAACTACAAATTCATCCAGTGTAAATAAAAACTTCATGGGAAATGTATAATATATGAGGGATTATTTGATATCTGAAAAAACTAGATAGAAAATAAATGCTTAAAAACTTCTAGAAGGTAATCCAGTAGAGTATTTATCAGCTTAGGCTAACAAATGATATAAACATGATTAAAGAAGAGCTAAACTTGAATAAAAATATTAAGTTGATGACAAGTGTAAAACACCATTCTTCAAAATATGCAATTACAAATAGGAAAGTGCTAATAGGAGAAAAAATAAGATGTTTATAATGCAAAAAGTATTAACATTCAAAACTGTTGATAATATAAAGAAAGATATTATAAGGAAAAGTATTCCAGTATTAGAGTAGCCTAAGTATAAGGCAATTTGAAGAAAGAAAAGAGGAATCATGAATAGGTTTATCAATCCTGATTCCATCTCACCAGTGATTAGACTGGTAAATAAGAAAATGTGTGATAATACCAAGGGTAATAAAGATATATTTCATTTACATTTACAGTGCTGGTAAACATACACTGTACAACCACTTTGGAGAAAACTTGGAAGTACCTAAAATGTGAAAATGCACAGTTGCTCTTGATCCAGCAAGGGTACCTCTGAGTATATATTGTGGAAAAATTCTCACACATGCATACACAGTGAAACATGTAAGAGTGCTTATAGCAGCAGTGTTGGGATTTTCTTTAAACCCTAGATTTGACCTATATATCTATCAGTAGAGAATCAAAATATAATTCAAGCTATTGTTATACAGTGGGATATAGTACATCACTGATAATTAATACAAATTAATATTACGAACCACTCAAGTTTGAATCAAATATTAGGTCATGGTATAATGAAATTATAAAACTATTTAGAGTTAAAAACAGGCAAAAATGTCACATTTATTTTAGAATTCATAATTGAATAGTAGAAGAAAGTAAAAATGCATAGGAATCATCAACATGAAACACAGGAAAAATAAATGAAACATAGGCAGGTGATTATCTGCAGAGCAAGAAAGTAGAGTTTATTAAGGAGGGCAGTATGAGAACTATCTAAGATATTTTAGGATAAGAAGCGGTTTTGTGAATTTGAATTCATTAAATAACGCTTTCTATTTTGTTTTGTTATTCATCATTTAACATTTTTTTAAAAAATATAAAGAATTCTCATAAGTATTTTTAAACTAGAAGACAAATAAGTGGAATGAAACATCTAAATGTCAAATTTTGGTGTGTACTTCCTATTAATTTCTAAGCAGGGACACCTGGCAAGCAGAAATAACTCTGAGGACATGTGGGATTTTGAATTTTTGGACACCTCTGTAAAGTTATTTGGCAAGCAATAATAATAGCTACCACTTATTTATCAAGTGTTTACTAATGTACTAAGCATTGCCATATATGGTTTATTACTTCTATCCTATTTAGTATTCAAATCAATATGATGTCTATTTTTGTTCTGTTTTAAAAATAAAGAAGCTAACATGTCCAAGCCACATATTTAGTAAGTATTGGAACTACATCAAAACAAGAAAGAAACATTTCAATGGTTTATCCTACTGTCTACTTCCTAAAGGAAAATTATAAATTTACAGTAACTGATCCAAATACATTTCCAGAGTTACTTTAGCTTTCACAGTGTTGGCCAGCACAATGTGTTTTTTGTTTGTTTGTTTGCTTGCTTCCTTGTTTTTTAATTGAGAACATTCCCATAGTTGACTATTTCAATATTTAATTCTCCAATCTTGTATTTTTGGTTTATCTTGATAAACATCAAATAAGGTGGAGGCAGTTTACACTGAATAGACTTAAGAAGCTGATCTTCACAAGAAAGTTCAGATGCTTCATTTTACCACAATTTCTCCACTGCTTAGTTTTATTACACCTAGTCCATATCATGCATTTGGGTTACTTGCCTGGCTCATCTATGACAGAAAAGAAGGAAAGGAGAAAGGAAGCAAAAGAGAATAAAGAACCTAAATAAATGCTATTCATCTATTCAGAGCTGTTTCAAAAAATTAAGTGAATGTTTTCTTCAGTATTCTCAGTCAAATCTTGCTTCATACTTATTATAAATACCCTGAAGGAGTCATACCAATGTGTTCTCTGTAAATGCCATGAACAACACTTTGTTTTTGTATAACGGTTTTCATGACTATTGTATTAATAGCACATTCAATAATATTTCAATAGGTCAAAATTATGTCATATGTTTTCTTACAAATTTTTGTCATTTTTTAGAATTAATGCTACAGCCCAGAAAATAAATATTATTATGAAAGCTTGTTTGTAAAAAATTTCAGTAATTTTATATCTTTTTGGTAAGATTAGTGGCTTCTATTGTATATATTTACAATGGATATCAATGTTGATATTGAGTTATCCAATCTAATATTCTTAATAGCTCCAGCTTGAACTATGAATGGTAGATGACTATGTTCTGTACGTATACCAATATGAGTATTTTTCTATGTTAAAGATTTTACTAGAATCCTTAAATAAACCATAATCATCTAATATGATTTTCTGCTGGAATTTATATAATTTATTATCATAAAAATATATTGAATTGCTCAGATAAAAATTTTAACTTCTATAAATCTTAATATATAAAAATATGGTCTTCTTCAACAAATTGACATTGCAAATTGGTTTAGAATATCCTTAAATAATTATAGTTTTATTTTCAAATAAGCTACTTTTGCAAATTGTTATCATTTTTAACTTAACTTTTGTGTTTTGTTTTTTGTTTGTATTTATGTCTTCCCCAAATGTCCTCTTTTTTTATGCAAATGTAGAGAAGGCAGACACCTAGAATTCCATCCTAGAATTAAGACGTGACAATAAACTTTGATTTTGTGAGTGCATTGTACGCTGACCTAATAGAAGATGAAAAGTGGAAAAATTTGCACAATGAGTTCAAGAACTCTGAGGAAAAGTATTCAAACAGTCTAGTTAAGAAAACCTTATTAAGTGGAAATTTCATACCAAACAAGGCTGCACAGCTTGGAAAAGCCCTGCACTTAAAATTAACTTCAGCCGGTGATGTGCTGAGGCTCTTGACTCAAGTACAGGCACACGGGCTGGCTATGATTTGGAGAAACATGGTAAGTCATATGAATGTTAGTTGATAACTAATTTTATTGTTCATGTGCGGAGGACATAGGGTCAAATGTGCCCCAAGAAGACCTCGAGAAAATATATGTGGCTCTGGATACAGACCTCATGTGACAAAAGGAAGCAATAACCAGGAAAGACTGATTCTCTCTGCTTATCATTTAGAACAATCAAAATAAGTTTGAAATGAAAAAAACTCCAGGGGTTTTGAAATTATTAAACTGGCATGTACATACTAAAAGGGAGCCAATAAGGAATTTACTACTAATAGGGCATGGGGGAAAGCAGATCCAAAGTTCTAATTAATGTTTTAAAATGATGGTATCCATTTGCCAGTTTTAAGATAAGTCCATACTGCTGAAAATTGCTCTATGTTTCTTACCACATTTATCTATGTCAGCATTTATTTTACTTCTAAATTTAATTACAATTTTTAAATTCCATTATACAAGTTATCTCACATTTAACTATTTGTTACCTTTCCTTCTCATCTTACAATATTACTTCTCTACCTGTCAAACTATATACAGTCCAGTTCCTATTCCAATTATGGCTATAATTGCAGTACAATTAATCAATTAATTAACAAAGCATAGCAAAAAATCAAAAGAACTTTAAAAAATTATGTATAATTGTGATCAATGTGGATGTTTTTAAATATGTTCAACTATTTATACTATTTTCCTTCTCAAAGAATCATCAGAATGCTGAACACATAAAATAAACATTGGATAAATTAAAAATAATTTTTCATTCTAAACAATCTAAAGTAATTTAAGTATAGTTCCTATTTAGACTTAACCATAACACTTTGAAAAACTTGAAAGAATTCACTGATTTTTTATAAAATTTAAAATTAATACATATTACACAATTTGTAATATAGATTTTTACTTTGAACATGAGGGCATTTTAAATGGAGCTTCTTTAAAATATAATTCACATATAAAAATTTCAGAAAATTTTAAGGACCTTTTTCTTTTTACTAATGCTTTGATTAGGATTTCAGTCTGCATACAAATTTGTCAAGATTTTAGCTGATACTCTTTCAGGAAACTATTTTAATAGATCATTACCTTTCCTTATCTCTCAATGTCATTAGATATGTACATTTTAATCTTAATTTCTAGGACAAATATACATATCTTTTTCTGATTATGTGCCTCTAAGTTTGATAAAAAGTTCTTGATGCAACCAGTGGACTCAACACTTCTCCTTACTTTGCATTTATAATAATAGGCTTATAGCAGTTTTTTTCTCCAAATTAAAGTATAAATATTTAATTTTTACTTTTAATTTTTAAATGTTACTCAATAGTATGTTTATAAAATGACTTCTGGAAAAACATGTCTATTTTCTATCATTTATTATGTCATAATTGAGAGAAGCAAGGACCCAAATTCATTTAATTATAACACATAAAACTGAATAAATATAGATGACAGATATGTGTTCTTTGTTTTTACATATCTGTTGTAAACCATATTACTCAGATTATCTCACTTCTTTCAACTTTTCTAATAAAAGCAATTACCATACCTATGTGGAATGTATTTTAATAGTAATTCATTTTAATAAAAGTTATATATTTTTAGGAGGTCAAAATAGCAATTTCAATTTATGAAATGTTGACTTTTTAATCTTATTGACATATTTTCTGGAGGCAAATTGTAGAACTATTTGAATAGCAACAGAAATTTCCAGTGGAGAGACAGTCAGATACGAAACTTCCGTGAGAAAACTGTATTTATCAGTGACTGAAAATCCTTGGATTAGGACCTAACTCCCACCTACTTGTTCTTGTAGATACTCTGTCTAAATACAGATATAGATAGATACAGATACAGATACAGATACAGATATAGACATAGATACAAGTACAGTTACATAGAAAAATAATATTATAAGATATCCTGAAATATATATAATATGTTAGTTTCTAACATTGTTTTAAAAGTTAGTTGTTTAACCAATCAAAGCAGAAACAACTTAAACAGACTTTACAAAAATTCATCAGATTTAATAAAGTTGTCTATTCGAAGATAGGGACTTCTTTCTTTTTTAAAAATTAAATGAGAAAGCAACTATTGGCAAATTCAAATTCCTTTCTTATCAAAACACGTATTTTGAATTTTTATTGTTTAAAACAATATAGAATTTGAATTAATAGCTATCTTAGTAAGGAAATATCTTTCCTCAAGACTGCAATGTGCTATCTTGCATACAAAATTACCAAATAAACACAGTGACTGCTGATAAATTTTTACCTAATTATTTAATATGGTTCCCTTGAAAAATGAATGATTAAATGAATTAAACAACAGTTAAACAATTAGATTCAGTATGAATATTATGTGCATACTGTACATACTTTTGTATTTTCAAGGTCAATCATTGCATAGAAAGAAATTAATTTTTTTAAGAAGTTAAAAATATAGTACTTAATCTTGAATAAATTTGTTAATAACTAGGGCACATTAAAATATGCCTCAAACGTAGTAAAATTACATTTTAACATTTATACAAGAGGTTGTCTAGAATATCACAAAAGAAAAATAACCTAAAAATAAAAACTTTCCCAAAACAAAGACTCAAAAGCAGCCCAAAACTGTTACAACAATAAAAATAATGCCACAATATTTGTTTCTATTTTAATTGAAAAAAGGAAAAGCAGATTTAGTTATTACTCTAAATAGATACTTTATTGTTGATTTTTCTAGATTTAATAGATTCAATAGTTTGAACTTAAAACCGTATTTCTCAATTTTACTCTAATTTTCTAACCTCAAACTTAAAACACATCATTTCCCTCTTTATTTTCCCACCAACCACACACACTAGCCATGTCATTCTATTTGTATTTACCTCATTCTTTTTCACATACTCTTTGTGTGTGATTCTGCTTTACCATCTTTTAGAATATCTTTTCTCAATTTTTCACCTATATCAAATATTGTTTTAATATATAGCATATTAATAGAAAAGCTAAGGTATAGTAAGGCAAACAGATCGGAAGACAATTGCCATTGAAAAGATACTCACAATTTCCAAGAGAAGGGAGCATGTCACGCCAGGGGAGACTACAGGGAAGAACTCAGGTCCATCAGGAAACAGAGAGAGGGAGGAATTCACGAGCAAGACCCTAGACTGTGGTGTTTGCAGGAAGAAACCAAGCAGGGTAAACAAGCTTAGGACCGGCTCGTTTGAATAATTTCAGTGGGCTCTGGGGCATAAGAGCTGTCCCTGGTTCTCTGGTTTTTGGCCCTAGCGTGATTAGGACAGAAGCACAGTGGCCTGGAGTGTGACAGCCCTATAGAGTATTTGTTTGGGAATTGGTTAGTTTGTATTTGTAAAGCCCATCTTCGTGAGGAGTTCAGGGGAGACTTCGTAGCCAGAAGCTGAGGCAAGGTGACTCCAGCATACTATCCATCTTCAAGAACAAGATGTGTCTGAATTGCTGTATGTTATAAAGTTTCGATGTCTAATAGAGCAAATCTTTCATCCTGTTGGTTCTCTTTGATTTAATTTGCTTTTTTTTCTCTCTAAGTACTGTTCTCGGAATAAGCCAATCTGATATGTGTGTCACTATTCCAATGAATGAGTAGATCACACTTTATTTTTCTGCTTCTTGTGAACATTAATTAGTTCAGTTTTCTGAAATTTTCAATGCTATTGTGATTTTTTAAAATTAACAATGCTACTTTGCTTATTGTGTACTTGTCACCAGAAATGCAAGAGCTAAGATGTCTCTGGAAATGGAATTCCTGGGTCACAGGGTTGGCACATGATCAACATTATTAGATAATGTTAAATTGTTGTACAATGTAATCACATTAATTTGTATGCCAATAGTAGTATATAAAAGTTTGAATTGCCCTACATCCAAACTCACACAAAAATAAATGCAGTCTAAAAAAAAAATTATAATGTGATGTATATGAAATTATATTTTGGGCTGGGCACAGTGGTTCGTGCCTGTAATCCCAACACTTTGGGAGGCCAAGGTGGGCGGATCAACAGAGGTGAGGAGTTCAAGACCAGCCTGGCCAACATGGGGAAACCCCGTCTCTACTAAAAATACAAAAATTAGCTGGGCCTGGTGGTGCGTGCCTGTAATCCCAGCTACTTGAGAGGCTGAGGCAGGAGAATAGCTTGAATCCAGGAGGTGGATGTTGCAATGAGCTGAGATCATGCCACTGCACTCCAGCCTGAGTGACAGAGTGAGACTCCCTCTCAAAAAAAAAAAAAAAAAAAGAAATTGTATTTTGTTGTTTTATAGTTTTAATTTGAATTAATAATAAGCTTTGGTACCATTTCATATATTTTAACTTTTTTATTATTTAAAAACTCTGCTTAGGTATTTTCCTATTTTAATTTTTATGTCTTTTTCTAAATCCTTAACATAAATTAATTGTATCATGAATTTTAATAGATTGTTATGTACTTGCAAATGTTGCCATGCTGTTTATGATGATTTTTCATTTTACCAATGGTGATTTAGAAGGAACAGATACTCTTGATATGAGTGGGACCAAACTTACAAATCATCTTGCTCCAGTCAGTTTTTGTGCTGGTTTGAAAATTTTTTTCATACTCTGAGATTCAGGCTAAATTGCTTTTAAAATTTTAAAGCTTTGTGTTTCAAATTTATATTCTTGATGAGATGTATAGAGTGAGAATGAGATACATTGTCTTTTTATTATAAACAATCTTGCTTTAGTAGCTACTGAAGTTTACTTTTGAAATTGTATTTCTTAAATATTTCCGTTAATTATAGAAAATTGATTTTGTATTCTATTTTATATCCATTAACTTTGCTCATTTAGTAATTCTAATAATCCTAGGCATTCTTCACAATGCATTGTAAGATAATGTATACATTTCATAGGATGACAATTTTTAGGTACACTTAATGGTATGGGACTATAGATTATTGGGATTTTCTTTGGTTTAAAATTGGCAAACTATTTTTAAGGGGAAGTTGTTAACAATCACTTTCTACAATATGTGACTCTCTCTTCAAAGAGTAAATCAGAGACAAATCTTTTTTTTCAAATTTCTTTTTTTGAAAATCAATAATAATGACCCTATTTTTTAGTTTGAATGGATTCTCATTAATTTAAAATGCAAATATTTTGGACTAAATGTTTGTGTCCCTCCCACCCCAAATTTAAATTTTGAAGCCCTAATCCCCAGTATTATGGTTTTGGAGATGTGGGCCTTTGGAGGTCAAAAGGTTGAGATGAAACCATGAGGATGGAGTCCTCATGATGGAATTAGTGAATTTATTATAAAAGACACAGAAGAGCACTTTCTTGTACACTTCCTTTGTCTCTGTCTCTCTGTGTGTTTCTCTATCTCTCTTCCCTTTGGGAACACAACAAAAGGTATCTGTGTGACAAGCATGAAGAATACCCTCAGCAGAAACTGACTATGTGTATGCTGATCGTGTACTTCTTAGCCTCCAAACTATGCGGAAAACATTTTGTTGTATAAGACACCAAGTTTATTGCATTTTATTACGGCAGCCTGAGCAGTCTAACAAGAAAGCAATAAAAAGTATAAGTAATTAAGATGAAACTAAATTTATCATCCAAATTCTCACCATAAAGAAATAACCATTTTCAAAATAGGTAGAACAAGATTTTACATATTTTCCTAAAGTTTATAGACAGAGATAATTGATAAAGATTTTATACAAACTGACTATTAAGAAATGATTGTATTTAATTATAACAGAAGATAAAAATAATTTTGTATAGAGAAACTGATTAACGTTTATGCATATTTGTTCCTAAAGTACATTCAAAGTTAAGAGAACAGATTATAAAATCATAACTTAGAGTTCTTATAGTATAGGTTTCTTACAAGAAGGGAAGAAAGCAAAATAAATTTAACACAACTAAAGCAGATCTTGCAGAATGTGATTCATATATGGACATGAGTCAGCTTCCTAAACTTGAATCTCAGTGTTATATAGATGAACCCACTCAGACAGAAACAACATTGAACTAGAACAGAACTCCTTTGACAGGCAATGCACATGTTTTTAGGAGAGCAGACTGTAAGCTTTCTCTGAGCCTCAGAGAGGCAGAAGGTAAGAATGATTCTGGGGTATGCATCCTCAAGTTTTTGTTTAAACTCTCTGAATAAGTACCTCATACCATTTTGCCGGGGCAAAGTGAGTGGATGGGGAAAGCAGGCCAAGGGCATTATGTGAATGGGTCACTTCAAAGGGAAAAACATATCTGAAACATGGTAGAAGCACCCCATAACTAACTACTTTTTCATGCCTTTGGCCTATTGGACTTAACCATTATAGCAATGATGACTCAAAAACTACATTAAAGCAGTGTTAAGAGGAACATTGACGGTGCTAAATGCATTCATCAGGGGGACAAAAAGGTCTCAAGTTAATGACCTAACATAGCAACTAGGGGAATTAGAAAAAAAGCAACAGAAAAGACCCAACCCCAAAGCTAGTAGAAGAAAAAAAATAACTGAAGTCAGAGAACTGAAAAAAAATTGTTATCTAAAAGTCCACACAAAAGATGAAGCCAAGAGTTTTTTTTAATAAACAATACTGATAGATCATTAGCTAGATTAGCAAAGAAAAAGAGAAGATCCAAATAAGTATAATCAGAAATTATAAAGATTATATTAAAATTGATCCCATGAAAATACAAAAGATATGCAGAGACTATTATGAGCACCTCTCTGCACACAAATCTAGAGGAAATGAATAAATTCCTGGAAACACACAATCTCCCAAGACTGAATCAGGAAGAAAGTGAAAACCTGAACGGACCAATAGGAAGTTTGGAAATGGAATTAGTAATAAAAACCTACGAAAAAAAATAAAATAAAAGCCCCGTAACAGGTGGATTCACAGCTGAGTTCTATCAGAGGGGCAAGGGAGAAATGATACCAATCCTACTGAAATGTCTCCAAAAAATCAAGGAGGAGGGGCTTCTATCTAACTCATACTACAAAGCCAGCATTACCCTGTTACCAAATCTGGCATAGACCACGGAAAAAGAAAAGAGAAAACTACAGATCAATATCTCTGATGAAAATACAAGCAAAAATTGTCAAACCAAATCCAGCAGCACATCAAAAAGTTCATTCACTATGACCAAGTAGGGTTTATTCCTGGGATATAAAGTTGATTCAACATATGCAAATTGATAAATGTGATTCACCACATAAACAGAATCAAAAACAAAAAACATAGGATCATCTCAATAGATACAGAACAAGCCATCAATAAAATTCAACATTCCAGCCAGGCGCGGGGGCTCACGCCTGTAATCCCAGCACTTCGGGAGGCCGAGACGGGCGGATCATGAGGTCAGGAGATCGAGACCACGGTGAAACCCCGTCTCTACTAAAAATACAAAAAATTAGCCGGGCATGGTGGCGGGCGCCTGTAGTCCCAGCTACTTTGGAGGCTGAGGCAGGAGAATGGCGTGAACCCGGGAGGTGGAGCTTGCAGTGAGCTGAGATCTCGCCACTGCGCTCCAGCCTGGGCAACAGAGTGAGACTCCATCTCAAAAATAAATAAATAAATAAATAAATGAAATTCAACGTTCCTTTTATGATAAAAACCCTCAACAGATTAGGCATTGAAGGAACATACCTCAAAATAATAAAACTATCTATGACAAACCCACAGTCGCCATCAAACTGAACAGCAAAAGCTGGAACCACACCCCTGGAGAACTGAGACACGACACGGATGCCCACTTTTACCACTTCTATTCAGCATAGCACTGAAAGTCCTAGTGAGAGCAAACAGGCAAGAGAAAGAAACAAAAGCCATCCAAATAGGAAAAGAAATTAAACAATCTCTCTTTGCCAATGCTGTGATTCTACACATAGAAAACCCTAAAGTTTCCATCAGAAGGCTCTTTGAACTGACAAGTGAATTCAGTAAAGTTTCAAGAAATAAAAACATTGTAGGAAAATAAGTAGCATTTTTATGAACCAAAATCATTGCAGCTAATAACCAAATCAAGAACACAATCCAATTTACAATAGCCACAAAGAAAATGAAATACCTAGGAATTCATCCAACCAAGGGGGTCAAAGACCACTACAAGGAGAAGTACAAGACACTGTTGAAAGAAATCAGAGATGACACATAAATGGAAAAATATCCATGCTCATGGATTGGAAGAATCAATATTGTTAAAATGGATATACTGCCTAAAGCAATTTACAGATTCAATGCTATTCCTATCAAAATACCAATGTCATTTTTTAAGTAATTAGAATGAAACCTATTATAAAATTCATCTGGAACCACAAAAGAGCTTGAATAGCCAAAGCAATCCTAAGCAAAAAGAAAAGCCAGAGGTATCACATTGCCAGACTTCAAACTGTACTATAAGGCTACAGTGATCAAAACAGCGTGGTACTGATACAAAAACAGACACACAGACCAGTGGAAGAGAATACAGCACCCAGAACTAAATTTGCCCACTTACAACTATGTGACCTTTGAAGAAGCTGACAAAAACAAGCAATGGAAAAAAAATCCCTATTCAATAAATTGTGCTGTGGTAACTGGCTAGCCATATACAGAAGATTGAAATTGGACCCCTGCCTCTTAACATAGATGAAAATTAACTCAAGATAGATTAAAGATTTACGAGTAAGACCTAAAACTATAATAATACTAGAAGAAAATCTAAGAAGTACCCTTTTTGATATAGGCTTTGGCAAATGGATGACTGAGTTCCCGAAAGCACTTGCAACAAAAACAAAAATTGACAGGTGGGATCTAATTAAACTAAAGAGCTTCTGCCTACCAAAGGAAACTATCAACAGAGTAAACAGACAACTTAAAGAATGGGAGAAAATATTTGCAAAGTATGCTTCTCATTAAGGTCTAATATCCAGCATCTGTAAGGAATTTAAACAAATCTACAAGCAAAAAATCCAAAAAATCCACCTAAAAAATGGGCAAAGGACATGAACAGACATTTCTCAAAAGGTGTCGTAACAAGCAGACAAGAAACATTAAAAATTGCTAAACTTCACTAATCATCACATAAATTCAAATGCAAAAACCACAATGAAATACCGTCTCACACCAGTCAGAATGGCAATTATTAAAACTTACAAAAAACAACAGATGTTGAGAAGTCTGTGGAGAAATGGGAACGCTTATACATTGTAGGTGGGAATGGAAACTAGTTCAGCCACTGTGGAGAGAAGTTTTGAGATTCTTCAAACAACTTAAAATAGAACTACCATTTGACCCAGCAATCCCACTATTGAGTATATATACCCAAGGGAAAATAATTTATTTTATCTAAGAGACACATGCACCCGTATGTTCATTGCAGCACTATTCACAATACCAAAGCAATAGAATTAACCTAGGTGTCCATCAATAGAGAATTGGGTAAAGAAAATATGGTATGTATACATCACAAAAAACAATGCAGCCATAAAAATGAACAAAGTCATGTTCTTTGTGGCAACATGAATGGAGCTGGAGACCATTATCCTAAGTGACCTAATAGAAGAACAGAAAGCCACATACCACATCTTCTCACTTATAGATGGTAGCTAAACATTGAATACACATGTTAAGATGGGAACAATAGACATTGGGGACCACTAGATTGGGGAGGAAAGGTAGGGGTTGTGGGCTGAAGAACTACCTGTTGGGTACTGTGTTACTGCCTGGGTGGTAGGATCACTGGGACTCCAAGCCTCAGCATCACACAATTACTCATGTAACAGTCTTTCATTAACCTATAATAAAAGTTGAAATTAATTAAAAAAACAAAACAACTACACTGTTTCATTGCTCTAGATTTCTTTTTGTCTCCATTTA